>NC_000006.12:164161699-164313214 GCF_000001405.40 Homo sapiens | reverse complement strand
GGTTTTTTTTTAAATAGTATAACACTGTGGTTTTGATTTTCATTTCCCTAATAACTATTGATGTTCAACATCTTCTCAGGAGTATACTGACCATTCACATATCTTGCTTAAATTCTATTCTGTCACTTTGCCCATTCTAAAAATAAGTTATTTGGTTTTTCTTGTAGAATTATAAGAGTTCTTTATATATTCTGGATATTAGGCCATTATAAATGGTATGATTTGGAAATATTTTTGCCCATTCTGTGGATCATCTTTTCACTTTCTTGACAATGTTCTCTGAAGCACAAATATTTTACGTTTTTTTTTTTTTTTTTTTTTTGAGATGGAGTTTCACTCTGTTGCCCAGGCTGGAGTGCAGTGGCTCAATCTGGGCTCACTGCAAGCTCCACCTCCCAGGTTCACGCTGTTCTCCATTCTCCTGCCTCAGCCTCCCGAGTAGCTGGGACTACAGGCCCCTGCCACCACACCCAGCTAATTTTTTGTATTTTTAGTATAGACCGGTTTCACCGTGTTAGCCAGGATGGTCTTGATCTCCTGACCTGGTGATCTGCCCACCTCAACCTCCCAAAGTGCTGGGATTACAGGCGTGAGCCACCGTGCCCAGCCAAACATTTTACATTTTAATGAAATTCAGTTAATCTGTTTGTCTTTGGTTATCATGTTTTTGCATAGCTAAGATAATACATTGCCTAATCCAAGGTTATGAAGATTTACAGCTATATTTCTAATAAGACTTTTAAAACTTTAGCTTTTATGCTTGGGTTTCATTCATTTGAGTCTATTTTTGTATATGCTGTGAGGTAGGTGTCCAACTTCAGTCTTTTGTATATGAATATCCAGTTGTCTGAGCACCATTTGCTGAAGAAATTGTTATTCCCCATTGAACGGTCTTGGCATTTTTGTCAAAAATCACTTAACAACAAACATACGGATGTATATCTGGATTCTCAATTCTATTTCATGGTCAATGTGTCCATCCTTAATGCTAATACCATATAGTTTTGAGAGTGAAAACTTTGTAGTAAGTTTTAAAACCAAGAAAGGTGAATCTTGCAACTTTGTTCTTATTTTTCAATATTATTTTACTTATTCTGGGTCCTATGCATTTTGTGTGAATTTTAAAAAAAGCTTTTCCATTTCTTTGAAAAAAAGACAGCTTGAATTTTGACAGGGATTGCATAGAATTTGTACATCAGTTTGGTGTATACTGTTATTCTAACAATATTGCCTTCAAATCCATGAACATGTGTCATTGCCTTTATTTATGCCTTCTTATTGTTTTTCAATGGCATTTTTACCTTTAAGTGCACAAGTTTTGTACTTCTTTGTTTATTTCTAAGAATTTTATTTTTATGCTATTGTAAATGAAAATGAAAATACTCTCCTCATTTCATCTTCAAATTGTGCATTCCTAATACATAGAAACACAACAAATATGTGTGTAATAATGTATCCTATGGCCTCGCTGAATTCATTTATTAGCTCAAATAGTATTTTTTATAGATTCCTTAGGATTTTCTACATACAAGATCATATCATCTGCAAATAGAGATAATTCTGTTTCTTCTTTTCCAATCTGAAGGCATGCTGTTTTTTTTTATTTTTTATTTTTGCCTAATTCCTCTGTCTAGCATCTTTAGTACAATATTGAACAGAGGTAGCAAAATGGATATCCTTGTCTTGCCCCTGATTTTAGGAGGAAAACTTTCAATCTTTCACAATTAAGCTTGATGCAGATTTTTCATAGATGCCCTTTATCAGTTTGAGGAAGTCCCTTTCATTCCTGGTTTATTGAGTATTTTTATCGTGAAAAAGTTTGGGATGTTGTCAAGTATTTTTATCCTGCATTTATTATAACCTGGTTTTGTCCTTTATTGTATTCATACAGTGATTTATTTTCATTTATTGAATCAACTATGCAATCCTGTGATGAATACCACTTGGGAATAGTGTAAAACTTGTTTTATGTGCTTCTGGGTTACTTTTTGTAATCTTGTATTCAGGATGTTCATAAAGGATATTGATCTGTGATTTTGTTTTATGATGTCTTGGGATAGTTTTAGTATCAGGGTAAAATTGGCCTCATAGAATAAGAAGAGAAGTGTTTCTTTGTCTTCTCTCTTTTGAGAAGTGTTCATGAATAATTGGTGTTATTTCTTCATTAAATATTTGGCATAATTCGTCATTAAAATTATCCAGTCCTGGCCTTCATTTTATGGGAAATTCTTTGAGAATTAATTCAACCTCTTAGTTGTTATAGATCTGTTCAGAATTTCTAAGTTCTAATACAAGAAAGTCGGTTTTGATAATTTGTGTTTTCTGAAACTTGTCCATTTTATCCAGACAATTTAATTTCCTTGCATACAATTGCTAATAGTTTTCATTTATAAACCTTTATATTTCTGTAATATTGGTAGTAATGCCTCCTCTTTTATTCCTAATTGAAACAATTTGAACCTTCTCTCTTTTATTTTGGTCAGTCTAGCTAGAGGTTTTTCAATATCAATTATTTCCATTCTAAACATCTTTCTAATCACTACTTTAACTACATTTTGTAGGTTTTGGATATGTTATCTTTTCATTTCTATTCATCTCAAAGTATTTTCTTATTCACATGTTTCTTCTTTGACCTATTTATCATGTAGGAATGTATTGTTTACTTTCCACATCTGTCTGAATTTCCAAAATTTTCTCCTATTTTTTATTTTTAAATGTATTTTTTTGTGATTAGGGAACATACCTTGTATGATTTCAATCTTTCCAACTTTACTGAAGCCTGTTTTATGGCTTAATATATGGACTATCTTGCAGAATATTCAATGTGCACTTGGAAAGAATGTGAATTCTTGTGTCCTTGGGTGAAGTTTTCTAGAAATGTCTGTTAGGTCTATCTGGTTTTTAATGGTGCTCATTTCCTCCATTTCTTTGTTGATATTCTGGTTACTATTTTATTCATTATTGAAAGTAGAGTGTTAAAGTCTCCAGGCATTATTTTAAATGTTAGATTTCTCTCTTCAATTCTGTCAGTTGTTGCTTCATGTTTTTTTGGTGTTCTGTTATTAGGTAACTATATATAATCATTTATCTTCTTGATGGATTGACATTAATATTAGAAAATGTATGAATAACAATTGTTGTCTTAAAGTCTATTTGTCTGAGATTAGTATAATCACTCCAGCTCTCTTTTCATTACTGTTTGTGTGGTATATTTGTGTCTTTTTACTTCGTTAGTTCTTTATTTGATTCTAAAGTGTGTATACTAGATGGGATATTTGGATCATGCTTTGTAAGTCTAGTCTGCCAATCTTTGCCTTTTTATTAGAGTGTTTAATATATTAATCCATTTACATTTAACGTAATTACCAATAATACAGGTTTACATCTGCCATTTTACCATTTCTTTTTTATAGTTTTATTTATCTTTTTCTCTCTTTTTCTTCATTATTGTTTCATTTCTGTTAAATAGATATTTTATAGTGTACTGTTACATGTAGTATACAAAAAATATGCTCTTAAATAGCTTTATTTATTCCACCCTCTTTTGTGTTGTTGTTGTCATATGAATTACATATTTTTATATTATGTCATAGTTCCCTAGAGGGATGGTACCCTCTAGGGAATCGTCCATTTCAGTCATTATACCTTTCAAATCCAGAATTTCTATTTGGTTCTTCTTTGAAATATGATTTTTACCTCTTTGTATATATTTTTATTAGGTGAAGCATCATTCTCATATTTTTCTTTAGTTTTTTAGACATGATTTTTTTAAGTTCTTTGTGAATATTTAGCATAGCCAATTTAATGTCTTTGTCTAGTAAGTCCAATATGTAGGCTTCCTCAAGGAAGCCTTTCATGGTATAAGGACCATACTTCCTTCTTTGCATGACTCACACTTTTTTCTTGAAAATGACATTTTCAATAACATAATGTGACTAACTTGGATATCAAATTCTCACACTTCCCCAGAACTTTTTGTTTTTGCTGTTTTTTTCTTTTTTTTTTTTTTTTGTAGTTACCATTTTCTTGTTTTGTGACTTTTATGAAGTAATTCTGCAAAGTTTGTATTCATTGTCATATGTGACTACAGAAGACTCTGCCCAGTTAGCTTAGAGGTCAGTTAATGGATTGAACAAAGATTGCTTTTAATGCTTGTAACCAATAAGTCTGCTACTACTGCCAAGGGGCTCTCTGTGTGTGTTGAAGAATTGATTATATCAATGCTTGGACTAGATGTTTTCACCTCTACATTAGCCTTTGCCTCCTGCTTTGCAGAGTGTCAAGATTAGCCAGTGGTGAGAGCTTGGAATCGTCTCAAAACTTTTTTAACAAGTACACTGTCCTGTGCATAAGCACTGCCCTGGACATGCACCTAGACTTCTGTATTCCCAGGAACATTTCACAGCGTATCAAAACGCCCATGGGCATCTAATGTCCTACCTTTTACTTAAACCTTTTTGGCCCATTTATTGTTTGCCCCAGCTATTATTCTCTACCTTTAATAGTGTAAAGTTAATCAAGGGCCTGTTTTATTTAGTTTCATTTTTCTGACATTTACCTCCAGGAAAAAAAGTTTTTTCTTTCTTCCCATAAAAGTGCTCTGAGTCAAATCAAACACAGATTGTCTTACAAGTAGGTTCTTCCCCAGAGAACCACCAGATAGATCAAATAATGACAATATTCTGAGTATGAGACTTTTAAAGAACTCTAGCACCATTCACTCCCTTGATGACTACTGGCTTTCACTACAAATGTGGGCTATTGTTTTGAAGGATATTGTGGAAGTGGAGAGTGGGTGATGGAACTATGGCAATTTAAACCACCATAAAACCAACTGTTCTTACCAACATTTGACCTTCTTCTTGAATAAATGCTCCTCTGATTTCTGCAAGCCTTTGGTCAATCTCCAGAGTTCTGAAAATGTTTATTCTGATGATTTTCCTTTTGAATTTTTTTCAAATTTTCTCACCACTTTTATGGCGGACAAAAGAATATTGGGAGATCCTTACTCCACCACATTTACTGACATCACTTCATATGTACTATTAATAGTTTACTAACAAAATGTACCTGCTGAGCACTGGCAGTTCCTTTCCTAGCACTTAAGCCGTGGAGTTAATTTTTTTTTTTTTTTGAGTGTCTTGCTCTGTGGCCAGGCTGGAGTGCAGCAGTGCAGTCTCAGCTCACTGCAACCTCTGCCTCCTGGGTTCAAGTGATTCTCCTGCCTCAGCCTCCTGAGTAGCTGCGACTACAGGGATATGCCACCATGCCTAGCTAATTTTTGTATTTTTAGTAGAGATGGGGTTTCACCATGTTGGCCAGGATGGTGTCGAGCTCTTGACCTTGAGATCCATCTGCCTTAGCCTCCCAAAGTGCTGGGGTTACAGGCATGATCCACTGTGCCCAGCCGAGTTAGTTAATATTTATACAGATGCCTCAGGGGTAGAAATGCCGAAACTGTGTCCCACCATGGGTCCCAGTGCTGCCCCATGGGGAGCCCCTCCTCTCTCTCCCCAGACAAACTGCTATTGCCACAGCTACAGCTTCTACTGCAACCATCACCACTGCCATCTGGGCCCAGGTTCATCCCATAAGCCCTTTTCTCAGGCCCATGTGGTGCACTAGAGTGCCCCAGGCTTGTGTACACATGCCGGGTGACAAGGCCAAACGCTCAGCCCACACACTGCCTCCTGGCGTATCTCCTCTGTTCACCTGCATGCAGGTTGTTCCATAGGCCTTCACTTGCACAGTACGAATTCAAAAATAAAATTATTAAGAATTTCAATACAGTGTCAGAGAGCATAATTCCCAGTGTGCTTCCACTTGAGAGAGTTGAGTCTTGTGCCACTGCATAGGTCACCTACCCATGAAGCCAATGATGGTCATGCTTTTCTTTACATGAAGCAGACTGTTATGTTTTCATTCCTCCCATTGCCACTATTAAATGAAGAGGTAGATAGATAGATAGATAGATAGATAGATAGATAAATAGATAATGTTTTTTTCCTCTACATCCTTCCTTGTAGCATGGGAATCTAATAAAATATCTTATGAAGAAATAGTACAAGTAATATAATTTTCATAGTATCTGGCACCAAACAAGTATCCTATAAGTGATCATTCCTTCACCCATCCCACCTTTCCTTCCCACTATTAATTGGGTAATGCTTTCTATTTCTGCAATATTGACAGGTTTTTACCTTTGAACTCTCTGTTCTTATTACTCCTTTTTCTCCAGATGCCTTGAACATTAATAATTCTTTGAAGTTTTCAGTGCTCCTTTTCAGAGGTTCTGACATATTTTACCTGGATATTAAGTAAGAGTCTTATTATTTTCTTTCTTCAAGCTGGAACCACCTCCATAGACATGTTCTATTGTTGATTGCACTTGTAATAATTCTTCATTTCAATTATAGTGATTTATTATGAGTCACTTGAACCATTAGCAAGCAATCATTTCTAGATCAGGCTTAGGTTATTTTATTTTTAATTTAAAAAGGCAGTCACATTGTGACATGCAATAATATTTGTTGTTAAAACACTAAGAATCCATTTTCTCTCATTTTTTTCTATGAATAATTTTCTTAGACTCATACTTTGGAAACTGGTTACATCTTTTCTTCATGAATGTTAAATACCTACCCATTACTGCTTGAATTAATTTTGTGAGCTAACAATTGGTATATTCACTTAGCTGACTCTTCAACTCAGAAAATTTTTTGCCTTCAAAATGTCTTTAGAATATCTAATAATTTAAATTGAGTTCAAATACTGAAGGTCTATCATGGAAATATACTGTACTCAGTGTTATGCTGAATGTGTGGGTAAGGCATGTCTGTGAATTATAAAGAATCACAGTCAGTTGCTGGGTGCGGTGGGTCATGCCTGTAATCCCAGCACTTTGGGAGGCTGAGGCAGGTGGATCACCTGAGGTCAGGAGTTCAAGACCAGCCTGGCCAACATGGTGGAACTCCGTCTCTACTAAAAATACAAAAATTAGCCGGGCGTGGTGGCAGGCACCAGTAATCCCAGCTACTCAGGAGGCTGAGGCAGGAGAATTGCTTGAACCTGGGAGGTGGAGGTTGCAGTCAGCGGAGATCGCACCATTGCACTCCAGCCTGGGCAACAAGAGTGAAACTCCGTCTCAAAAAAAAAAGAAAAGAAAAGAATCACAGTCTAGTTAAAATGTATATGCATGGGTATATGTATGTAAACATTATTTACATATATGTAAACATATGTAGCTCTGTACAAACATGTAAATATACTTGTATATAAATCTATTTACATATAACTATGTAAATGTAAATAAAATATATTTACATGTAAATAAATCTGTGGCCAGATGGGCTTCACCAACCCAGAAGTGCGGGAGAAATAACATTGACTTACAAGCCCAGAAGACTCTTAACCCCTCTGCTATCTCCCTCTTCCTCCTTCACCTGAGCTCAGCCTCCGTAACTGCCTGGACCCTCACAATGCATCTTTTCTGCCCTGGGCACTACTTATATGCCCAATATCATGCCAGGACCACTGTTGTCCCGCTTGCGAAGGTGAGTCTTTATCAACAGAAGATAGGAGGGCTAGAGATGCTTCGTCCCCGATCGCTCCATCCTTAGCATAGAATTAACCTTCTCTTCATTTGTCGCAGTCCATCCAGCTTTGAATTTTTAATTACACTTTATTAAAATGTCATGGGTAACTTAAGGAAATGCCAATAGAAGAAGAAAAGAAAAAGAAATCCCTTACAACAGTTCATCCATGGAATTTCTTTCAGAGTTACTGGCCAAGAACAATTTTTAACCATTTTTATTATTTCTTTTTGTTGTTGTTGTTGTTTGAGACAGAGTTCCACTCTTGTCGCCCAGGCTGGAGTGCAATGGCAGGATCTCAGCTCACTGCAACCTCCACCTCCCGGATTCAAGCAATTCTCCTGCCTCAGCCTCCCGAGTAGCTGGGATTATAGACATGCGCCATCACGCCCGGCTAATTTTTGTTTTTTTAGTAGAGACAGGGTTTTGCCATCTTGGTCAGGCTGGTCTTGAACTCCTGACTTCAGGTGATCTGCCCACCTCAGCCTCCCAAAGTGCTGGGATTACAGGCATGAGCCACCACACCCGGCCTTATGATTTCTTTAGTGGGTACGTCTCTGCTTAGCTACAGGGCTGCCTCACTGCTCAGCTCTGGAAAATGACCAACTTATCTACACATCAGACCTGAAGGTAAGGTACTGTTGCAGTGGGCTAGTTCATTAGACTCCATATATTTATTGAAATTATTTATTGGGCATGTACTTTATGCCAGGCACTATTTGGAACACTTAGAGCACACCACTGAACAAAATAATCTGAGATCCCTGCCCTCACAGATGCATGCATCCTACTGGAGAAAGATATGCAATAAGTAATAAGTGTAATAGATACAGAAATTAAATAATATGGTACAGGATGATAATTGCTGTAAGAGAAATGAAAAAGTAAGTATGTTAAGGGAAAACGAAAGTGCTTAAGCTTAAAGAAAGGAGGATGTTGCATTTCTGAGTAGGTATGGTGGATAGGCCTTTTTGAGAAAAGAATGTTTGAGTAATGTCTTGTAAGAGGTAATGGAGTGAGCCATGAGATATATGAAACGAAGAACATTCCAGAAATGAGAAGCAGTCAGTGTAGGACATAGAGAAAGAGGGAGGAAAGGATGGCTCCAGCAGTGTTTTGAAGATGTTGAATGAGTGAATAAGGCACACTTAGTTATAATGAACAACAACCTGGTCATCAGCTAACTTCAGCAATTTACTGTGGTCTCAGTATCTCTGCTCATGATATTGGTCTTAGAATGAACTTGTAACTAACTTCAAAAACTACTCTAAATAAATCCATTATAGTGTGATAATATAATAGTTGTTAACTCACATTAAGCAGAATTCTCATACTATGGAAGTACGGGAGAAGAGATTAATTCTAAATATGAAAGAAGAATATAAGGTAGTTTTCTAAAGGGAATGAAAATTAGTCTAGTCTTTAAATAATACAAAGTCTTAGGTATTGCCTCTATTTTTCCCTTAGGAATTAGGAGAGACAAAATTTACATACACTAGACAGAGACGCAAAACAAAGGACCTTAAACTCCTTATCTAATGGTACATTTCCTGGATTTGTCAGCCATTGTCAGCTCCGCTCCCTCTTATCCCTATGGAGTTGGTCCACACCTCAATTCCAGCATCCGCTAGCCTTTACTATCTGCTTTAACAGTTAGGACTGTTTCATCATTGGTGTGCCCTCTGCCTGTGCTGTTTCTGTGGTCTTAGCTACTGGTAGCCCCTCCCTCTGCAGTGTTGCTCATCAGCTAGCCGTCACCTCCTACTTCATTCAGGTCCCCTCCCAGACTAGCCCTCAGTAGAGGTTGGCCTGAAATCTCCTTTGGAAGCAGGAGTTGCCAGATTTGACAGATGGCTATAGAAAGGAAGGCAATTCCAAGAGAGGAAACTGAAGAGAGGCCAAATGGTGAACATATTTTAATTATGTTTCTGATAAAGAGGCATTGCAGCAGTAAAGGTCTCAGAAGGAAACGGATCTCTCTGAACTCATGTTAGTACAGATTAAGAAATATTTACCAAAGAATCTATTTACAAGGATATGAATGGAGTACAGGGAGTCCCAATGGTTAATGCAGCAGTGTGGGGCTAATCCTGGTGGGGCAGCAGATGCCTAAACCTAGGGGAGGGGCAGTACTGGAACCTGGAGACAACCGGGAAGAGGAGGCAACTGTGGAGAAGACCATTATGAGAGGAAATTGACCAGTGAGAGAAGTGAGACCTGCATGCTCCAGCACCCGTCATATGTAATGAATCAACTTCTTTCTTTTGCTGCCAGAATAGCACTAGTTTTGTACAATCCTTGGGGAAATGAAAAACAGATCACTTTCTGTGTTCATGATTCTGAGTCAAGAAAAGCAAGCCCACGCAACCTCACAGGGAGGGGACTTGAGTAATAAATAACTGACCTCAACCTTCCTCACTCTAATCTCCTTCCTGGGCTCCCCATGGGCCAAAGCCAGATGGAAGTTTGAGGACAGTTGTGTGTGTTGATTGCAGCTGTCCTGGTCAGTCTCTTGGAGCAGAGCACGCAGTGGATCTGGAGGCCCAAGGAGGACATCACAGAACAGAAGAGCAAGCCCATACCTGGGTCTTGTGTTAGTTTCCTGGAGTGGCCATAACAGTGTCATAAACGAGATGGTTTAAAGCAGCAAAAATTTACATCTTGGGCTGGGGTAGTGGCTCACACTTGTAATCCCAGCACTTTGGGAGGCTGAAGTAGGTGGATCACTTGAGGTCAGGAGTTTGAGACCAGCCTGGCCAACAGGGCAAAACCCTGTCTCTACTAAAAATACAAAAATTAGCTGGGTATGGTGACATATGCCTATAGTCCCAGCTACTTGGGAGGCTGAGGCAGGAGAATGGCTTGAACCTGGGAGGCAGAGGTTGCAATGAGCTGAGATCATGCCACTGCACTCCATCCTAGGCAACAGAGTAAGACTCCATCTCAAAAAAAGAAACTTACATCTCAGGTTCAGAGTAGGCTACAGGTCTGAAATTAGAATGTTGGTAAGTCCATGCCCTCTAAAATCTGTAGAGCAATTCTTCCTTGCCTCTTCCTAAGTTCCGGTTCTTGGCTGACAATTGGTGGTGTTCCTTGGCTTGTAGGTGTATCCCTGCCACCCCCACCTTTACACAGCCTTCTCCCTGTGTCTCTGTCTCTTCACACAGCTTTCTTTCAATAAGGGCACAAGTCATATTGGATTAGAGGCCTACTCTAATATAACTGCAACTTAACTAATTACATCTGCTATGACTGTATTTCCAAATAAGATCAGGTTGCAAGATACTAGGGCTTAGGACTTGAACATGTCTTTTCTTGGAGGAGACATAATTCAACTCATGACAAGGCTAATGCAGAGGAGAAAGGCATACTGTGCAAAGATTTGGTAGGAAATAAAAATGAAACAGTAATATTAACATACTATAGGAGATACCATGAATTTAGGAAATAATATAAAGGAAACAATATTAGCAAAGTAACTGGCCACAAGTACATCTGTGCCTGGAATTGTTTGTAATATCGTGTCCGGAGTTGGTGTGTTCATGGTCTTGCTGACTTCAAGATTGAAGCTGCGGACCTTTGCCATGAGTGTTACAGTTCTTAAAGATGGCATGGACGGACCCAAAGAGTGAGCAGCAGCAAGGTTTACTGTGAAGAGCGAAAGGACAAAGCTTCCATAGCACCGAGCGGGTTGCTGCTGCAGGGTGAGGTGACCAGCTTTTACTCCCTTATTGTCCCCTCCCATGTTCCATTTCTGTCCTATCAGAGTGCCCTTTTTTCAGTCCTCCCTGCGATTGGCTACTTTTAGGATCCTGCTGATTGGTGCTTTTTACAGAGTGCTAACTGGTGTGTTTTACAGAGTGCTGATTGGTGCGTTTTAAAATCCTCTGGTAAGAAGGAAAGTTCCCCAAGTCCCCATTCAACCCAGCAAGTCCAGCTAGCCTCACCTCTCAATATTCACACTGTGAGTCAGGCACTAAGCCGCATGTGTGGCTAACAGGACTGAAGTCCACATAACCTCCTAGGTGACACATTAGATAATGTCTATTTGCTTCTGTCATATTTGCAAAAAAAATTGTTAAATTATAAAAGTCAGAGGTTAGAATTCTATGAGAACATGAGTACCTTCTCTCATACTTACATAATGCATCTATGTCAAAAGCGTACTAATGTAGAAAATGTTTAAAGAGGTCAGACATGGAGGCTCACACGTGTAATCCCAGCACATTGGGAGGCCAACATGGGAGGATCATTTGAGCCCGGGAGGTCCAGACCAGCCTGGGTGACATAGTGAGGCCCTGTCACTTTAAAAATAAAAAATAAATTATGTTAAAGACATTATTGCTCCATATGAAAATCCACCTGTGTCACTGCACTTCACTCTTAGAAAAGAGCAGTTTGGCAACTGTACCAAACATGTCATTTAGCTTCTCAATTATGTTACTTGCTTGGTGTATTTTCCTGAAAATCTATGACTCTCTCTGTAGCCAATATTATTGGAAGATAGCTCTTGGTTTGGTTGTTACAGCTGTTTTAAGGGGCAATTTGAATCACTGTAGAGTCAGCATAATTGCTTGTAAGAAATGTACAAGCATTCCAGAAAACAGAAAAATCCTGCTACAGATTATCTGAAGGTTGCCATGGACCACTGCCTCTGCGGGGATTCGTGTGTATCTCCTGCAGCCAGATGTCTGTGTTTTCACAATGTCATGGAAGAGGAAGTGGCGATGGCTGAATCAGGTGGGAAGCAGCCCTAAGTATTCACAATCCACCACACATTTTGATGGTTCACAGGGACTTTGTGAATCAAACGTGATTTGAAAAACATTTGTAAAGCTGAATTAGAGCCCTCAAATTTTATTTTTCTAGGAAAGGACAAATAATTAAACAACATCTTTGGAGTTTGCTGTGACTTCTGTACATCTAACAAGCTGTACTTTCACAGAAGCTTTCTGGAGGTTGCACAGTTATTAAAACCAGTTAGGGGCCTTATCTTTTGGGAAACAAAAACTTACATTCCTTAGAGCCAAGGAGATGCCCCGACTAAGAACACATCTGCGGCACTAATTTCATCAGCGTTTCTGTCTTCAGGAATTCAAGGTCTAATTTTGCTTATCTAACAAGTAAGACATGAAAGAATAAATTGGCTCATTACTGGGTCAATTGGTTAAAATAATAATTATAAATAATAACCTAAAATGATAGAGATTTTTTTTTGCAGCAGTCCAGTTGGGGGAAATGAAAGGGTCCATTGATCACTCTGTTGGGTGAGAGAACAGGATGACCCATGCTGAAGGATGTCACACTATCACACTGAGGTATAATTTTTAGCCCAGAGAGACAGAGTATGCTATATATATATATAATTATATATTATTATGAATATATATAATATATAACTAGCTGAACTAAATTCAAAAGAGTTTAATTGAAGAGCAAATCGGGTAGTCTCCCAAGCCAGAGTAGGCTCAGAGACTCCAGCACAGCCATGCGGTAGAAGATTTATGGACAGAAAAAGCAAAGTGATGTACAGAAAACAGAAGTGAGGGACAGAAACAGCCAGATTGGTTACAGGTTGATGTTTGCCTTATTTGAACATGGTTTGAACAGTTGGCCACCTTTGATTAGTCAAAACTCAGTGATTGACACAAGAATAGGCTACAGTCTGTATACAAATCCATTTAGGTTATAGTTCATGATGTACCAAGAAACTGTTAGGCCAAATTTAAAATTACTATAAGGAGGCAGATTTAGGCTAAACTTGATTTAACATTATATATGCATATATAATGTTATATAATTTGTTAGATTTAGGCTAAACTTGATTTAACATTATGTATACATACATAATGTTATATAATTACATTCCCTGCCAGGTGATAACAGAAAAATTCTTGGTTCTTTCAGAAAACTTTTGGCATTTGATTTTTGCTGAGTTTGCTGCCTTCTCTATTAGAGGTAGAGGGTACATGTAAAATGAGTCCAATATGGTCCCTGTATTAGTCCATTCTCACGCTGTTATGATGAAATACCCGAGACTAGGTAATTTATAAAGAAAATAGGTTTAATTGACTCACAGCTCTGCATGGCTGGAGAGGCCTCAGGAAACTTATAATCATGGCAGAAGGCAAATCTTCACAGGGCAGCAGGAGAGAGAATGAGGACCAGCAGGGGAAATGCCAACGCTTATAAAACCATCAGATCTCATAAGACTCACTCATTATCATGAGAACAGCAGGGGAAACCACTCCTATGATTCAATTACCTCGACCTGGTCCCACCCTTGACATGTGAGGATTATTACAATTCAAGGTGAGATTTGTGTGGGTACACAGATCCAAACCATATCAGTCCCTTATCCCAGAACCCCATATTTAGAAGGGTAGTAGACCAGCACATAATTTCTGACATTATAAGAAAAAAGAGATGGAAAAACAGGGCAGTGTTGGAGTAAAGAGAAAGAGGCCATTTGGATTCAGAAAACCAAGAATGGCTTTATAATGAACAGAAATTTTGAAATGCCCCTTGTAACAAGAATAAGATTTTAATATGTTGGGAGGAAAATAGGAATTCTGGGTTGAGGGAATTGTATGGACACAGCCAAGGCACTGGGAATAGGGCTCAGCCTGTCCACATGCATTTAGGGCGGGGTCCACAAAACTTTCCTGTAAAGGGCCTTGTAGTAGTGTTACAGCCTCTGCAGGCCACGAGGTATCTATTGCAGCCACTCTACAGCCATAGTAGAAAAAACAGCCTAGACTCTAGAGAACACGGACATGGTGAGCATAGCTGGGGTCCAGTCAAACTTTATTTACAAAACAGGTGGCATGCAGCCATAGTTTGCTACCTACAAACAACATGAGGAAAGAGATTTTTCTCTATGTTGTTCACAAGTTTATCTCAAATACATAGCTCAGAGCTTGACCCATAGTGCATGCCCAGTGAACATCCGTTAAATGATGAATAAAAAAAAAGAAATAGAGCCTGAAGCTGGACACGTAACATAGGACCACATCAAAGAACCTATGACTGTCATCATAAGAAGACTTGGTTTTAGTTTGCAGGCAGCGAGAGACCACTGAGGTCACTCCCGTCTCGGGATGGCATCTTGGCAGATGAGCTGATGGATTAAAAAGCTGAGATATTTGGGGAAGAAAGGTAGGCTGACATATTGCACCTCATGTGAGAGGATACAGATCCTGAGTTAGAACCTGAGTGTTGGACATAAGTAAAATACTCCTTTCAGAGCCTGAACCTGCAGGACTCAGCCAGGTGCTAAAGAGCAGAGGAAAGACTTGGTGACCAGGAGCATGGCTGGGCCACTCTGTGAATCACAGAAGCCAGGATGTCTGCAGTAATGAGTAGACAAGTTTTTTAATTTTGAAAAGTCAGGTGTAGTTGAAGGTGATACATCCACGTGTAAATGTCATGTCAGGTAGGTTATTAGAAAATTGGGTTATTAGAAAGTCCTTCTCTTGAGAAATAATTAGATGTGACAGACTCTGTCATATACATTACCAGTGAGTTCTTCGGCCTGTAGTAGGCTTACCTGCATGGCATTTACAGGATGGTTCCCAAACCTCCTCCATTTAGGTAAGAAGGAAACAAAGCCAGGAACCTCTATGGAAACTGTTTTCATCGTGCATACATCATGGGTCATCACACCCAACTACCTGCCAGATATCTAATTTATTTAGAGAGCCTTGCAAACAAAAACAACAACAACTCCAAAAAATAAATAAATAAATAAATAAATAAATAAATAAATAAATAACTAACCCAAAACCATGACAAAAGCAGCAATGGGGTGGAGTTTCCATGAAGTTTATATTTTTGAAGCAGGACAAAGCTTTGACATTGGAGGTCATAAGCTTGGCAGAAAAGCCAAGGGAAAAGTTTTAAGTTGTGTACCATCTTGGTCACCAGTGCAGTGGCTAACAACAAATGTCACTGACCACCGTTCAGTGTGGAGAGAGAGATCTCTGGGAACCAAAAGTACATGTACTTGCCATTTTACTTATGAGTCTATTCCTAAAACATTGTTCTCTGTCATTACCGTTGCAAGAAGAAACACTGATGAGAGCCGCAATGGAATTAGGTCAGAAATTTACAAATAAATTTACTTCTATAGAAGTCAAAGTATAGGTTAAAAGTCTAGGAAGGAAGTGAAGTCAAAGGTTGAGTAGGCTTTGTTCTTCCTGAAGACCATGGTGCATGTTGTATAATTGTTCTCCCCTTTCTCTAGATATTCACTCTCAAAAATGTTGTTTCTGAGGATCCTGTTTTCTAGAGAAAATGTTACAAACTCAAATTGTTGCAGGGACCAAACAGGTAACATCAGTGTGGATAAAGTGGGCCAGAAATAACAAAAGGGAGTGAAGGGTCAGAGTGAACCATCAGAGAGGACCAGGCCTTCCTTGAAAAGATGTGGGGGATGGGATGCTGCAATTCAATTCAAGCAGAATGTGTCTTTGTGTTATTAGCTATTACCATTTATATTCAAAGAAAGACATATATACATTTTATGTGAAATCTATAAGTGCTTAAATGTTGACAATTTTTTAAAAATATACATGAGTCAAACAAAAGATATCCATACGTCCTCAATTGGCTATTTCATGTTGTGGGTCATTTTCTTGTGGGAAATCATTGATGAATTGTTCAAAAATTAATCACCATTAGCTTTTGTCTTGAACAAATGTATTTATAAAAATTACATGGGATGTGAGTCAGAGAAAAACAGAAAATCACTTAGGGAGAGTTATCATAATAGCTAACTCTTTTATTATATTAACCATGTGCTATGTAATGTTCTAAGTGTTTTATGATACAGCAACTCATTTACTCCTCAGAACAGCTTTGTCAATAAAGTACTAGTATGATTTTCTGGAAGAAAACAGTGAGGCACAGGAAGATTAAATAACTCACTCAACTTTACAGAGCTTGTAAGTGACAAATCCCCAAGTGGAATGTCGGTAGAATAACTCCAGTTCCTATAATCTAACCACTATCCAGTGGTTTTTGCCTATTCATCCTGGGACGGCGGAGAGTTATGCAGCCTATCTGGCATACGTTTTCTTATTGCTCAAATGGGCCTTACTAACTGCCCCATATGGGTGTTGTGATGTAAAAATAGATCAGACAGATGAGGCTCTTGTGTACTACCAACAGTTATTCAAACATAAATGGTTATGAAAAAATTTGATATAAGGTACTTAGCATTGCTGAGACCAAAGGTTATATCACCAAGCTTTCTGAGAACAGCTGCTGTCACCTCAGTAATTCCACAGCCAAAGTATAGCAGACAGCACAGGTGTAACATTTGGTAAGTGGGTACCCAAGGCATCTCTTCCCACTCTGCTGCCACCCTTGGACTATTAAATGTTTTAAATAGGTGCTGAATACACAGGGACACTGAGTGTAGCCAATTATATAGTGACAATGACACAGTAAAAAGTACAGACAGTGTTACGGCTATCTTTTTGTTTGTTTTTTGGTTTTTTTTTGCGTGTGTGTTTTGTTTCTGTTTTTGTTTTTGTTTCTTCTCAGTGTGTCTCCACTTCCAGCTACTTGAGCTCCCGATGAGTAAAGTTCCAGAATATCCTCCACAGTTTTGTAGCCATCACGCAAGAGCAGGAATGTAACATCCTGATTTATAAATCAGAATCACCTTTTAAAATTCCACTATCTGTAGGTCTGGTGGTAATTATTCCTGCTACACTGGAGATGAAAGAAATTATGGTCTAACCATGGTGATCTGCCTCAACTAGGAAACTGAATTACTAATCAATTACAGAGTAGCGAAGATGTTATTATTCTCACTGCTTTGGGAGTGTAATATTCTGCCATAGATAAGGAGGAAAATAAAAAATAAACAGCTGAATCTCATGCTCCACCCAATGTGCTAAAAGTCAACTGTATCCAAAACAGAGAGCCAGCCAACGCCAGGAAAGAATGGAATATTTAAAAGTGAGCTTCTGATATTTCATCCAGGGGAAACTGACAACTTAAATAAAACCGGTTTTGTAAGGCAGCAAGGCTGATAGAAGCACAGAATCATAATGGATATTCTTGTATAGCTCTCCAAGAGGGGTCCGTCAGATGGCAGGGACACAGTAGGAGGAGCCCACCTGGCAGCGAGTAGGGTGCTGGCCTCTCGGAGCCCAACCTGCAGCACCAGAGAGTGAGCATTTAAAACGAGCTGATACAGCTCAGTGCCTAGCACACAGCAGTCAGCCAGTGTTAACTCCACCTTTTATTAACTCGAGAAGCCAGAAACATGGGCTGGGCCATCCAAAAAGCAAAAATAACATGTAGTCATAACATCAATTTCTGAGGTAAGTGCCTTGCCCAAAAGGGCCACTGTGGCTGTAACTCTATGGCATGTGAACATTTTCTTTCTAAAAAAATAATCTTGGCTGGGTGCGGTGGCTTGCGCCTGTAATCCCAGCATTTTGGGAGGCCAAGGCGGGCAGATCACCTGAGGTCAAGAGTTCGAGACCAGCCTGACCTAATGGAGAAGCCCCGTCTCTGCTAAAAATACAAAATTAGCTGCGCGTGGTGCTGCATGCCTGTAATCCCAGTTACTCAGGAGGCTGAGGAAGGAGAATAGCTTGAACCAGGCAGGCAGGTGGCAGTGAGCTGAGATCGTGCCATTGCACTCCAGCTTGGGCAACAAGAGGGAAACTCTGTCTCAATAATAATAATAATAATCATCATCATCATCATCATCATCATCTTACTTCTTAAAATCCTAAGAATAGCAATAAACTATCCCTGCAGTCCAGATAATGTAGTAGATTGCACAAATGGCCAAAACACTTTACATCCCATGCCTGTGCCTTTATGTGATTCTTATGTGACTACAGCATCCCTCCCCCTCCGCCAACAAGAAGTGGAGGCTCTTTTCCTATTCTTTAAATCTGGTCTGGCTCTGTCCCTCCCTTTGGCCTAAAGAATACACTAGATGTGAACTGGCGCTAGCTCTGAGACAAGTCCCAAGAGGCGTGCACATCCCACTTCCTCTCTTGGAAGCCCCTCTCCACTGTGTGAACAGCCCACACTGGCATGGTGAGGATGGGGGCCAGGTCCCAGTTGAGGATGACCTCTGCCTGCCCACAATTAGCCTGGCAGTTGACCTTAGATGTATAAAGGAGCTTTACTCAGGCTAGAAGAACCATTAAACTGAGTGTTACCCAGAACCGTAAGCTAAAAAGATGTGTATTTGTCAAACTACTATGTTTTGGCATGGTTTGTTTCTCAACAAAAACAAACTGAACATTTTCAGACCCAGAAAGGCAGTGAAGCCGAGTTTGCGTTCCACCTTGCACCGCCCAGCTGAGTCTGCTGAGGCATCATTCATCACTTTGCACAGCCTGTAACAGATCAGCGTTACTAGGCAGCAGCTGGCCAAGAATTGTCTCTTTCATGTTAAAGGGACACTAAATAATGTCCTGTTATTGATCCAGGTGTGTCGACTGCTAGACTAGAGTCAGAAGTTCTGTGGATGTTGAATAGAGCAGTTGCAGATTTCTTTATTCCAAAAACTTGGACATTCATAGAATCACACTTCAAAATACTATCGTAATTTGACATGAACGGTGACACTGAAAATAGTCATTAAAGAAAAACTCAGGTTCATTGATTTGCAAAATTGGGAACATATATGTTTTTTAGTTTTCACTCCTTCTCCTGCAGAGGTCTTTGGGGAATAAGCTGGAGAACAAAGTTACTAGGGAAATACCATCAAGTTCTGCTTATGCAATGAAGAATGTTTCTGTTTATTGCATCTAACTATAAAGATAGAGTATACTGCATGCAAGGGCTGCTATAACGAAATACAAAAGACTGGGTGGCTTACACAACAGAAATCTATTTTCTCATATTTCTGCAGGCTGGAAGTCCAAGGTGAAGATGTTGGCAGGGTTGGCTCCTTCTGAGGCTGTGAGGAAAGGATCTGTTCCAGACCTCTCTCCTTTACTTTGTGGATGGCCGCCTTGTCCCTGTGTCCTCACCTAATCTTCCCTCTGTACGTGTGTCCAAATTTCCTCTTTTTATAAAGATGCCACTCATATTAGATTTGGCCCAGCCTAATGACCTCCTTTCCACTTAGTTACCTTTTGAAAGACTGTCTCCCAATACGGTCACATTCTGTTTTAGCCAGGTCTGGCTACTATTACAGAATACCCTAGGCTGTGCCTCAGAGTTCTGGAGGCAGGAAGTCCAAGATCAAGGCACCAGCAGATCAGTGTCTGGTGAGAGTCTCTTTCTGGTCTGCAGATGGCCATCTTCTGGTTGTGGCCTCACATGGCAGAGAGAAAAATCACCTCTCTTGTGTCTCTTCTTATATAGCACTAACCCCATTCAAGAGGGATTCACCCTCACGACCTAGTTACTGCAACATTGGGGATTAGGGTTTCAACATATGAACTTAGGGTGAATACAGACATTCAGTCCATCACTTATTCTGAGGTGTTGGGGTAAGAATTTCCACATACAATTTTTTGATTATTGGGGACACAATTTAGTTTATAACATAATGGCAAACATGGAAAGAAAGCTAAGAAAAAAAATATTAAATGCGGAACAGAAAATGCTGAACAGAATGAGATGACCTAAAACTACACAATAAGCAAGTTGCAAGGTTTTCCCTTTTACACCTCCAGATGACTACAATATGCACCATTTCTGTGAGGCAGAGGAGAATGAATCTTATTTTCTGCGTTAGACAAAAGGTAATAAGCCCTGCAAGTACTTACACAGTCTTGGTGGAAATACACTGAAATTTTCTTTTCTTAAAAAAGAAATATATTCTAAAAGAAGTCTATCCTCCTTTTTAAACTACAGCTGTTTGTAATGCCAAGGGTTATTTAGCAACATACATTAGTTTGTTTATTTGTTTTCTGATATAAAAATCTTTGTTAAACATCTTATGGTGTGCTGCTATAAAGACACATGCACACGTATGTTTATTGTGGCACTATTCACAATAGCAAAGACTTGGAACCAACCCAAATGTCCATCAATGATAGACTGGATTAAGAAAATGTGGCACATATACACCATGGAATACTATGCAGCCATAAAAAAGGATGAGTTCATGTCCTTTGTAGGGACATGGATGAAGCTGGAAACCATCATTCTCAGCAAACTATCGCAAGGACAGAAAACCAAACATCACGTGTTCTCACTCATAGGTGGGAATTGAACAATGAGAACACTTGGACACAGGATGGGGAACATCACATGCTGGGGCCTGTCATGGGGTAGGGGGAGGGGGAGGGATAGCATTAGGAGATATACATAATGTAAATGACGAGTTAATGGGTGCAGCCCACCAGCATGGCACATGTATACATATGTAACAAGCCTGCACGTTGTGCACATGTACCCTAGAACTTAAAGTATAATAATAATAAAAAATAAAACTAAAAATAAAAAAAATCTTATGGTGAAGGAAGCTTCCAAAAAAAGATGCAAGGTAATATGGCCATGAGCTTGAATTATATTTACTCTTGTCTTATTCATTCATCACATTACATCTATGCACTAGACATTGAGCTGGGCATTGTATGGCTGGCATTTGTCAGACCAAATTGTGCTGTGATATCATGATATCTGCTCTATTTTTTCTAAGTATAAAATCATGTAGATTTTGTTCTAATTGTCATTCAGTTGAATCATAATTGTATTTTTGTGGTCTTATTATGCCACAGTGATTTTTCTACAGAAATAAGATGCTGTTCTTTCACTCAGTGAGCTTTTAGACTGGTAGAAAAGACTAAGATATTAAAAGAAAAGAAAAGAAACAAGTACATAAAGTGCTACCGGGACAGATTAAAAGTAGCTGTCAATTTTTTGATGCTTTTAAAGGTGTGGGCTTATTTTCTACCCCATTGTTTTCTGCATAAGCTTCATGATGCCTGCCTAACAGAGAACAGTGAAAGACAGGTTGTGTCAGTTTTCAAGCTGAGACATTAAGGGAATGGTAACCTCCACTTCTCTCCTTTGGGACACTTGCTGTGTAACCCAGCTGCCATGCCATGAGAAAGCATAAGCAGCTAAACAGGGAGACTTATTTGGAGAAAAAGCAGGACCCCCACCAAGAATCCCAGTTGAAATTCCAGCCAAAATCCAGCAGGAACTTGTCAGCCATATGAGTGAGAAAATAAGTTCCATGACATGGAGCTAAGATGAACCATTCCTGCTGAGCCCTGTCCACATTTCAGATTGTGGCAAAATAAATGATTGTTATTGCATTAAATCACAAAGCTTTGGTGGATAAATACCAGAACACCTATAAACTTCTATGAAGGAAAACTCTTGACAGCCATGAAAACAAATATAATAATGGGAGCCATCTAATTTTCTCTGAAGGTTTAACAAAAAAATGCTCTCATTTAAATATATTATTATATTACAAAATAAGCTCTCAGATTATAAGAGTATCACTGGATAGGCATTTGAAAAGAGCTTGTGTTTTCTGCTTGGTTGGGCTAAATCATAGCTATTTGTGAAATATCACAAATGTCTGGGCTTGTGTACATAAATTCTAGATTGGAATTTTTGTTTTACAAATACTTTATTCTTGTCCACTTTTTAATCCATAAAATCCTAAGAATGTTATGAGTTTTTGTAGGCATAAATTTTCAGTTTTTATATTTTATTTGAAAATTGTAGCTTTTTGCTATTATATACTTCTTTCTTAATCAATTTTTTAATTGCATTTTCCAATCTTTTAGGTTTGTCTCTTTAAAATAACATATTGCTAGACTTTGTTTCCTTGTAATTTGACAGTTTTTATCTTTTCATAGTCATTTATTTACTTGAATTTATAGTTCTGATTAATACATTTGATTTTATGTTTTCCTCTATCTTATTAAAGTGGATGAGGGCCTAGTTTTTATTTTAAATAATCTCAGAAGTACAAGATATAGTCCATGCTGACTTTTTTCTATTTCATAATATTAATTACCAAAGGAAATCAATAGAAGAAACATAAATTTTATATTTATCTTTTTTGTAGAAATGTTATTGTTTAGAAAGTGCTTTTTAAATATTATTTTCTCATTCTTATTAATGTTATTTTATTCTCATTTATACTTGATGAAACTAAGAGGTTTATTGATTTGTTAAAGTCACATCACCAGTGGTTGTGAAGTGATCTCAATCTTGTCTTGTCTTCTTTATAGAAAGAGAGAAGCCAAACACCTTTGTTCTGTGGACTCTACCGTAGTCATGTAGGGAGCAAGTGTTGGGGGATGGGATACTTGGTTCCCAATCCTGTCCATGTGGACAACCTTTTGCCTGGGGGACACTTGTGGTCACTAGTCACCCTCCAACTCTCCACTCCAGCCTCAGCCAGTAGAGGAGGCGTGATTCATCCGACTGCTCAGTTTGGAAAGACAAATGAGGTGAATCAGCCAGCCATGCCCCTCTCTCTTCCAAGTGAAGCTGCTGGCCCCCCATGCACAAGGTCCCTTCTTGGTTTCTCTAGGCCAAGTGTTTTGGAACCCAAGCACCAACCTTGTGGGTAGATGCCCACCTGGGTCCAGCACTTTTGGTGAGTAGGTAATCAATCCATCTCAACCAGTGATTCTGATACCAGAATACCACTTATCCATGCATGGAATCCCCGTCTGTATCATCAGATTCATTAGTAATAAAAGTAATATTCTGTTCTCCCAACTGCCTAATGTCTGGGTTTTATTTCTTTGTCAGTTCAGAATGCAGATATAAAAGAGGTATGTTATGTATGTTATTTGTGGGGGATACCTCTTGAACTTCAAGAGGAAATGTGTGAAACAATTTGAATCTTGTTATTTAATTTGGATTTTGTGAGGGAAATGGCCTATAGTAGCCTATAACTATGACAACAACATTATCTCATCTGCAATAACAAACGTTGGCTCTCAAAAGGTTTCCTTTACTAGTTCAAAAGTAGGTCAGCAAAAGATCACAGTGGTTGAAATAATTTGAGGGGAGGAAGATTATGTTTAAATGATCCTTAAAACAAAGGCAATCCATGTAGTCAGCTAAGCCATTTAAAGAACAGTTTGGGGGATAAGATATAATAACATAAGTATATGAATATTCTATAACATCTACATCTTAACTTCTGTTTCAGGTCAGAATTTAAAAGCACAGAGCTTTGTGAAAATGAAACACATATACCCATGCACTGTGGCATTTCCAAATCAGAACATGGAAAAGCAAAATGGCAACACTTTTATTCAACAAATATTTAGCCAGTGCCAACCATATGTAATTAACTGAAAGAGGAACACAAAATAAATTAGAGATGGACCTTGACCACAAAGAGTTTATTCTCTGAAAGGAAATATGACAGGTGCATACAATTCTAAAATATATGGTAAAATATGTTTTGCCTTAAAAATCTACAGTTAAGCTGTCATGGGGATTTGGAGAATGAGGGCTGCTTTCATTTTGGGCAGAGGAGGGTACAGTGATGAAGGTAGAGAAGAGGCAGCACTGGTATTGGGTCTGATGGTTGGATGGGGGGTGAGATTTTAGGTGAAGAGTCAGAGGGAACCTCTGGGAAAATCCAGTGAGTTAGAGCGGACTGAATTAATACAATCATGGAAGAGATCTTTCTCTTAATTTCCAAGTAAGGCAAAATAAGCTGTAACAGAAGCTCACAGTACATGCCACACACATCCAGGAGTGTGTAGAATGAGGAACCAAAACAAGAAACAAGAAATGGCTCCACTCCTGTGACACAAAGAGCCCCTAAAGGGAATGAAAATAAGATTTAGGCAAGGAGACAGGCCCAGGTCATTGAGGGTTGGCAATATGAAAGTAGACAGTTTGGATTATTATTAATAATTCTTCTTCTTCTTCTTCTTCTTCTTCTTCTTCTTCTTCTTCTTCTTCTTCTTCTTCTTCTTCTTCTTCTTCTTCTTTCTTCTTCTTCCTCTTCTTCTTCTTCTCTTCCTCTTATTCTTATTCTTACTCTTCTGCTTCTGCTTCTTCTTCCTTTTCTTTTCTCTTTTCTTTTCTTTTTTTTTCTTTCTTTTTCTTTTCTTTTCTTTTTTTTCTGTGTTTCTTTTGATACTGTGTTCACTCTGTCACCCAAGCTGGAGTATGGTGTCGCAATCATAGCTCATTGCAGTCTCAACCTCCTAAACTCAAGCAATCCTTCCATCACAGCCCCCCAGGTAGCTGAGACCACAGGTGTGTGCCACCATGCCTGAGTAATTTTTAAAATGTTTTTCTAGAGATTGGATCTGGCTGTGTTGCCCAGGCTGGTCTGGAACTCCTGGGCTCAAGTGAGCCTCCTGCCTTGGCCTCCCAAAGTCCTGGGATTACAGGTCTGAGCCACTGCACTTGGCCTCTGGACTACATATTCTCTACTTGAATGGAGAGCTACTGAGGGTTTCGGAACAGGTTAGTGCCTCAAATCAGGGGTGTGCTTGAAGTGCATGAGGCCGAATTGAAGGTGAGAGGCCATCACAGTGATCTAGGGCCATGTGTCACAGGTAGAAAATGCCTCAGTGCCAGCAGTATTCATGAGATGAGGGCAGATGCAACAAATGTGAGAGGGAAATAAAGGGGAATCATCAATGGGTAAGAAACCAAGTTGGAGGAGAGCAAGGGGTGAAGGGTAAAGGAAGAGGGAGTTCCTCTCTGGATGCATTGAAATGATCCACCTTCTCTTTCTTCTCAGCACATTACCCACATGAATACACTAAGAGCTAAAAAGAAGTTCCACATGTTCTCTCCAAATCACTTCAATGGCACTTTTGGCCCCTAATTTTAGGAGGTCCAAGGGTGCCTTCTATCATAAGATTTCTCAAGGGGAAGAATCCCAGTGACTCCCCAGGGAGGAAAAGCCACCCAGCCTAGCCAGCGCCTGCCTGCTCAACAGGCTCTTTGCCCTCGTCCCCATCACTCATTTCCCAGTTCAGTCTGCGTTCAGAGTGTCTGCAAGATTCTGGAAACATCTTACACTTCAGCTTCCCCCTGGAGTAACTGTACTTCACATATTTTTTAATAGGTGTCTCATAATGTCAGTTATATTCCAGTGAGATCTGCATTTGGGACTTGAAGCTTACTGATTCCTGGTACAGTATTTCTATATGTGAATGTTCAGGGCACAGTGGTTTACTGCTTGATACACCTGCCAGTTCATTTGTCACTACTAAGTAACAAATTAGTTCATTATTTGTTTTCCAAAGAAGGCAAAACAAACTGCAGCAAGCAGTCACGGCACATAGACAGAATGCTAACCTCGCCAAGGAAAGCCTCCTTTATTATTTTGAATTTGAAAAGAACATAGAAAAGGAGGCTCTCCACCTGTGCTACAAAAGGCAAAGTGATAAGAACAAGCTTAATATTCATTGTCCAGCCTAAGAATCGATTTCTTGTCTGGTCATTTTGGTCACTGAATTTTCATTATTGTAGATTCTCCAACAGCAAATAAATGGTAGGCATTAATATTAATAACTATGTGAGGTAGGATAAATACTATTAATCTGAGTTCACAGAGCATAAATCTGAGACTCAAGAAGGTTAAGTAGCCAGCCCAACAGCTCCCAGCTCGTGGCATATCCTGTGACGTGTTTAAAAAAGAAATCTAAAAATTGATGTTAGAAATTCTCTATGCTTTCCATCGCAATGATTTGTCAACTCAAGTCACTTGTTATTTGCCTCCACATTTCTAAAGATCCCTCACCAGAGAAAGAAAATTGCATTAGCTGCATTTTTAAGAAAGCATAAGGCCGGGCATGGTGGCTCAAGCCTGTAATCCCAGCACTTTGGGAGGCCGAGGAAGGCGGATCACGAGGTCAGGAGATCGAGACCATCCTGGCTAACACGGTGAAACCCCGTCTCTACTAAAAATACAAAAAATTAGCCGGGCGTGGTGGCGGGTGCCTGTAGTCCCAGCTACTCGGGAGGCTGAGGCAGGAGAATGGCGTGAACCCGGGAGGTGGAGCTTGCAGTGAGCCGAGATCACGCCACTGCACTCCAGCCTGGGCAACAGAGCAAGACTCCGTCTCAGAAAAAAAAAAAAAAAAAAAAGCATAGAGGAAGTGATTCTGAAGTTTCTTCCACTAGGGTATGACATTGGAGTTGACATTTCAAATCATAGTGCAGGTGTTTATAAAAGATAGAGGAACCTGGACCAAGACTGTCTAGAAATGGTCTCATTTTTCATACCGGAGAATGGAAGCATCTATTACTTCTACTCCAGAAACCCTTGCTAACTTACTCAAGAGGCAGAATAATTTTGATAAAAGAACACGTGGTCCCATTATCTCCGAAGGGCCTAGAATAAAAGCTTCAATTTTAAAAAAAATGATGAATAAATAGTTACAATTAACTGGGCACAATGCCCAGTGGAAAACCACACTCAGTCCTATCAAAAGAAGACACTTTAAGCACACGGGCCAGTATTTCTTTCTCCATTCAAGTGATATAGGAGAATAATTTGTGCTCTTAAGGAACATGATCATGAGAACAAAAATGTTTTTAAAAGAGGCATTTCTTTATAAGGGAAAATAAAGTTTATCTTTGAATGGTTTTTGGATATTTTTAACCACCCTCCTCAATGAGGAGAAGAGGAAGTGGTTAGAAGTATAATGGGAATGGGGAATTTCTCCTGATTCAGGCCATGATGAGCTGATATTTTTGTTAGCTATAAAAACATTTGCGAAATATCTTTTTGTTCTTCATAGTCTTTGACATTTAATAGGAATTGATGTTATTTGCATGATCATCATGACCTAATTTTCATAGCAACTCCTCTGTTTGAAATAGCTAACCATTTAATAAATATCAGATTTTTAAAATAATTACTTTTAACTTTGGAAACATGATAGAAACTACTGCATGATGGTACATCTACAAGCCCATCTTATCCCCAACTCATGAGTCAAACAACAGAATGACTTTCTGTGGCCATTCTTCTTGCAGCAGCAAAGGAAGTGTGCGCAACTAGCAAATGGGCCATCTGTCTTGAAGCCTGTAGTTCCAACACCACAGCACCCTCATCAATAGATGTCTGGGTTCCAATTGGCTGTGTGGGTGGTAGGAACTAACATCTCTTTTTGATGAAAGAGCCCTACAATGTCATTACCAAGGGTGACATTTTAAATAGCAATCAGACGTATCACTCTTATCTAAAAAGTCACTAAACTTCCATCAAGAGTGCACCTCCTGCTCTGGGAGAACGCACGAGGCACTCTTTCTGCTAAAGCCGGTTAGCCATTTTTAGAATTGCTGACCAAAATACATGTTTTAACATGAGGCAGCTGCTGACATTGATCGAGTCTCTTGTCTGTGCTTATCTTGTCATGGGAACAAATTTTCCGGCTTATATATGGCAGCAGTCCTAATCAATCATGGACCCAGGCTCCTTGGCTTCCCAGTGTTTGATAGTGGTGGAAAATCCATTCATAGAAACTTGGAAAGGTGGAAGAAGATGACATTAAATAGAGGAAAGACTTTACTCAGTATCCCAGATTTTTGATAAAGTAATCTAACTCTTGTTACACAGAAGAAGGCACAGAGATTTGGCACTTCTTGCAGAAATAAGTCACTAAAAATTTGGAGGAAATCAGAAATGCAAAGCCTGTTTATGATGGCTAGACCAAGGTCAACGCACTTCAAATAAATCTTGTACTGACTTCTTGGTGCAAGTTTCAGAGAATGAAGTGGGGAAAAGATATTTATCTTCCTTACTTGGAAAAGGACACATAATTTGGAGTGGGAACCAAAAAACAATTAAATTATTGCCTCCTTCTCAGGGAAGACACCAACATTTAAATGAAATAAGTAAGATATGAACAAAGCTTAAAAATCATGAAAAATAAAAGTACAGTTACCTAAACTCTTATTATCAACAAGAATCTAGTGAACACCTAATAGGTTTAAGGTATTATCCTTAGCCTCTTCTGGAGAAATAATGTGAAAAAAGCCTAGAGCTTTCAAAGTCATAAAGTCTGAGTTTGAATGCCAGGTATGCTCTTACCAGAGTAAGCAAGTAATAACAATCTCTGAACTTTGAGTCTCACTTAGTAATTGAGAACAAAATCTACCAATTATGTTGTGGGAATCAAAATGATCTATTAATAATTGATTTTAGTAATGTAAAAAATACTTAGTAATCATTGCCCACGTATTATGCTCTGTTCTAGATTTAAAATAAGAGTTAGTAAAAGAGACAAAACATCCCTCCCTCAAAGAGTGTGCATTCTAGTGGGAAAGTTGCACAGCACAAAACATAAAACGGTACAGGAAATGCATGGCAGGCAGTGGATGCTAAAATAAAGTAGGAACCAGAAAATAGGAAATGTTCAGTGGTGTGAAATTTTATGGCCGGGTGCGGTGGTTCATGCCTATAATCCCAGCACTTTGGGAGGCCGAGGTGGATGGATCACCTGAGGCCAGGAGTTTGAGACCAGCCTGGCCAACATGGTGAAACCCTGTCTCTACTAAAAATATAAAAATTAGCCAGGCATGGTGGCTTGTGCCTGTAATCCCAGCTACTTGGGAGGCTGAGGCAGGAGAATCACTTGAACCCAGGAGGCGGAGGTTGCAGTGAGCCGAGATCATGCCACTGCACTCCAGCCTGGGCGATACAGCAAGACTCTGTCTCAGAAAAAAAAAAAAAAAGAAAGAAAGAAATTTTACGTAGGTTCACCATGGAAAGCCTCACTGAGAATGTGAAATTTGGGTAAAGGCCTAAAGCAGGTGAGAGAGTGAGCTGTGCAGATAACTGGGGAGAGTGACAAAAGAGACATTGCAAAGGCAGGATGACATTGGAGTTGACCTTTCAAATCAGAGTGCAGGTGTTTATAAAAGATAGCGAAACCTGGAGCATGAGTGCCCACAAATGGTCTTGTTTTGCATACCAGAGAAAGAGAGCATCTTTACTTCTACTCCAGAAACCCTGGCTAAGTTACTTTTTTTGCAAAGACATTGCCAAAATCAGGATGCACAGGGCCCCTGAAGTGCGAGCTGGTCTGATGGGTTCCAGGAAACGTAAGAAAGCTGGGGTAGCTCGAAAGAGTGAGCAAGAGACAGAAAGGGAGCTGAGCCTGCAGGTCACGTGTGCTTGGCCATGACAATCTCAGCCCAGCATAGAATGGACTTGGACTTTTTAGCTTTTCTTAGGGAGAAGTCACTGGAGGTTTTAAAGCAGAGGAGGGATCCTTGTGGCTACTGTATATTTAAGATTCCAAAGAGGAACAAGAATAGAAGCAGACTATTGCAATAATCCGGGAGAAACATGACAGGCTAGAGCAGTACCAGGAGAGAAGGTGAGAAGCGGTAAGGTTCTGGATGTATTTGAAGGGAAAGCAAACAGGATTTGATGACAGATAAGTGTGGAGTGTTTGAGAGCAAAAAGTAAATAATACTATGACTTTTTGAACGGAGCAACTGGAAAAATGTATTTACCCATAACTGAAATGGGGAAGACTGCAGGAAAAACAGGTTTAGGAGTGAAATATCATGAACTCAGTTTTGGATGTTTGAAGTTTACAATGTTTATTTGATGTACAAGTGAGATGTCAACTGGGCAGTTGGATATGTTAATAGGAAATTTGAAGAAGAGGGGTAAACCCTAGACAAAACAAAACACTGAGTATCCTCTCATGTGGATGTAATTTAAAGCCTCTGGTTTGGATAACATTATCAAAGGGTTGATTATAGTTGAACAAGAGATGATGTCTGAGAACTAGCTGGGCCTGTGAGTATCTCAGCTATTAGAGATCAAGAGAAAAGGGACATTGCAAAGGAGGCTGTGAAGAAATAGTCAATAGATTCAGAGGAAAAGCAGTGGACCTTGGTTTTCTGGATACCAAATAAAAAATAATTAAGTAAAAGATTCCAGGAGGAAGGAGTGGTAAAGTGTCCAATATTGCTAATACATCAAATAATGAGTCTTTGAAAAATGACTGTTGGATTTAACAACAGGGTTTTAGAAAAATTGTTGGATTTTTTTTAATGTGGCAGGTACATAATAACTCTACTTTTTGTTAACTGTCTTCCCTTTTCAAAAAGTTTGTTCCCATAACTCTTCTGAGTGTACATTAATTTTTATAGTCCTAAATGTCTAGCCAAGGTGACTGGACCAGGGGTAGATCGTCAGCACTGAGTGGACCAATCAGTTCATCCCTCCTGGGAAGTCAGAAATCCCCAAATTTGGGATACTTGAGATGAGAGTTGAATGTGAACTGGAATTGTACTCAGAAGGGAGGAAGCAGACTACATTAATGAAAGGAGAAAAACAGTTTAAATTTGAATATGTTGTTTTGAGATGAAATGCCTATAAAACATCTAACTGGAGATATTAAACAGGCATTGGCTAGGGCCATGCAAATTGATAAGACTCTTTAGTGAAGCATTTAAAATAAGTAAATCAGAAAATAAGACTCAAAGTGTAAGAAATTAAACAATAAAAATTTAGGATTGAACTTTTTGAAAAAGTAGTCCTGGATTTTTTGATGCCCACGGACAAATGGCAGAAGTCAATGTGAATTCTCTCTGCAATAATTCACCGTCAACTCAAGCCTCTAAAAATTCTTCCAGATAAAGTTTGCAGAATCATGAAATTGTCAACAATAATAAAATACAAAAAATGTTGGATAATCATCAGAAAAAAGCCAAATGAATGGAGATGTCTAATAAAATACAGAATATCCAATTAAATTTGAATTTTACGTAAACAATGAATGTAATCTTTAGTATAAGTATATACCAATATTGCATGGGGAATTTTTATATTTAAAAAAAGGAAAGAAAAGGGAAAATAAAAACACATTATTAATGTGAATTTCAAATTTGTGAACTTTAACTGGGTGTGCTATATTTTTATTTGCTAAATCTAGGAGCCCTATAAATCAATGACAGAAAATTATAGAACGCAAAAGACCAAGAGAAAGCACCAAAAGCTAGCTGAAGTGAAAACAAACAAAAATCATTAAAAAATGGTTGAAACCTCAGTAGAAGCTATACAATCCAGAAAACAATCAGATCCCATGCTTAAAAATGGAAGAAAATATTCACCCTTCAAGAAAGTATGTTTCAAAATGAGGAGAAATTAAAGACAAATAAATTGTTTCATGGAAATAAATTACTGAGTGTCTACTACTGAGAGATTCCTCACTAAACAAAATTCTAAAATATGTTCTTCAGGCAGAAATAAAGAGGCCTCAGATAGAAGGAAAGGTGAACAAAATGTATTGTGATATAAATCCATATAAATATTGACCAAGTAAGACAATAAAAACTACATCTAATTTTCAAGGGCTATAAAAACACACATGATACATATTTGGTAAAATGTTTGGTAAAAGTAGTATATAAAACCAAAATTAAGTGCTGAGCAAGAGTATTGGGAAGTAAAGTAGAGATATAGTCTGCTTTTAGACTTTGGAAATATAATTATAGAAATGAAGCTTGTAAAATTTGTAGCAGAGAAAAATCAAAAGAGAAAAAATTAATTTATATAAGGCAAAAAGGATGATGAGAGATTAAAGAAAATATGCAAAAGGTATAACAAATTGGAAGCATAAAGAAATATGGTAGATATAAGCTCAAATTTATATTATATATATATTTTTTTGAAACACAGTCTCTCTCTCCCAGGCTGAAGTTCAATGGTGCGATCTCAGCTCACTACAACCTTCATCTCCCAGGTTCAAGTGATTCTCCAGCCTCAGCCTCCTGAGTAGTTGGGACTACAGATGTATGCCAGCATGTCTGGCGAATTGTTGTATTGTTAGTGGAGACGGGGTTTCACCATGTTGGCCGGGCTGGTCTCAAACTCTTGACCTCAAGTGATCCATCTACCTCAGCCTCCCAACATGCTGGGATTACAACCAGGCATAAGCCACTGCACCTGGCCCATTATATATATATAAAATAATAATAATGAAATAAATAAATAAATAAAAACTTTGGAGACAGACATATTATACTTGATAAAAAAACAAAATCAAGCTGCATGCTTATATTTGTCCGTTCTCATGCTAATTAAGAAATATCCAAGACTGTGTAATTTATAAAGGAAAGAGGTTTAATTGACTCACAGTTCAGCATGACTGGAGAAGCCTCAGGAAACTTACAATCCTGATAGAAGGAGAAGCAAATATGTCCTTCTTCACACGGCGGCAGGAAGAAATGCCAAGGAAAAGGGGGAAAAAGCCCCTTATAAAACCATCATATCTCATGAGGATTCATTCTCTATCATGAGAACAACATGAGGGTAAGTGCCTTCACGATTCAATTACTTCCCACTGGGTCCCTCCCATGGCACACGGGGATTATGGAAACTACAATTCAAGGTGAGATTTGGGTGGGGACACAGAACCAAAATATATCATCCCACCACTGGACCCTCCCAAATCTCATGTCCTCACGTTTCAAAACACAACCACTCCCTTCCAACAGTCCCCCAAAGTATTCAGCATTGACCCAAAAGGCCAAGTCCAAAGTCTCATCTGAGACAAGGCAAGTCCCTTTTGCATATAAGCCTGAAAAATCAAAAGCAAGTTAGTTACTTTCTAGATACAGGCATTGGGCAAATACACCTGTCCCAAATGGGAGAGGTTGGCCAAAATGACAGGACTATAGGCCCGATGCAAGTCTGAAATCCAGAGGGGCTGCCAAATCTTTAACCTCTGAAATGATCCCCTTTGACTCCATGTCTCATATCCAGGGCATGCTGATACAAGAGGTGAGCTCCTATGGCCTCAGGCAACTCCGACCCTGTGGCTGTGCAGGGTACAGCCCGCCTCCCAGCTGCTTTCATGGGCTGGTCTTGAGTGTCTGCAGCTTTTCCAGGTTCATGGTGCAAGCTATCAGTGGATCTGCCATTCTGGGATGTGGAATATGGTGGCCCTCTTCTCACACCTCCACTAGGCAGTGCCCCAGTGGGGACTCTGTGTGGAGGGTCTGACACCACATTTCCCTTCCACACTGCCCTAGCAGAGGTTCACCATGAGGGCTCCACCCTTGAAGCGAACGTTTGCCTGGACATTTAGGTGTTTCCATACATCCTCTGAAATCCAGCTGGAGATTCCTAAACCTCAGTTCTTGACTTCTGTGCACTCACAGGCCCAATACCATGTGTAAGCTGCCAAGTCTTGGAGCTTGCACTCTCTGAAGCAACAGCCTGAGCTGCACATTGGCCCCTTTCAGCCATGGCTGGAGCTGAAGCAGCTGGGATGCAGGGCACCATGTACCAAGGTTTCATAGAGCAGTACCTGGCCCATGAAACCATTTTTCCCTCCTAAGCCTCTAGGCCTATGATGGGAGGGGCTCCTTTAAGGTCTCTGACATGCCCTGGAGACATTTTCCCCATTGTCTTGGTGATTAACATTGGCTCCTTGTTAGTTATGCAAATGTCTTCAGTTGGCTTGAATTTCTCCCCAGAAAATGGGGTTTTCAGCATCATCAGGCTGAAAATTTTCCAAACTTTTATGCTCTGCTGTCTCTTGAACACTTTGCTGCTTAGAAATTTATTCTGCCAGATACCCTAAATCACCTGTCTCAAGTTCAAGGTTCCACAAATCTCTAGGTTAGGGACAAAATGTTGCCAGTCTCTTTGCATAGCAAGCGTAACATTTACTCCAGTTTCCGAAATGTTCCTCATCTCCAGCTGAGACCACCTCAACCTGAACTTCATTTTCCATATTACTATCAGCATTTTTGTGAAAGTCATTCAACAAGTCTCTAGGAAGTTCCAAACTTTCCCATGTCTTCCTGTCTTCTGAACCCTCCAAGTCTCTAGGAAGTTCTGAATTTACCACATTTTCCTATCTTCTTCTGAGCCCTCCAAACTGTTCCAACCTCTGCCTGTTACCTAGTTCCAAAGTTGCTTCCACATTTTGGAGTATCTTTACAGCACTGCCCCACTACCCTGTACCAATTGAATGTACTAGTCCATTCTAACACTGCTAATAAAGACATACCCAGAACTGTAATTTATAAAGGAAAGGGGTTTAATTGACTCACAGTTCACATGGCTTTCCTTCTTTTGCTTGGTGCTCCTCCTTCCTGCTGCCACGTGAAGAAGGACATGTTTGCTTCCCCTTCTGCCATGATTGTAAGTTTCCTGAGGCCTCCCCAGCCATGAGAACTCACTATCATGAGAACAGCATAAGGGTAACTGCTTCCATGATTCAATTACCTCCCACCAGATCCCTCCTATGACATGTGCGGATTATGGGAACTGCAATTCAAGATGAGATTTGGGTGGGGGCACAGCTAAACCATATCAATGCAATTTGTAAAATAAACAACTTAAATGTAAGACAAGTAAATATTATAAGTTAAAATGTAGAAAAAAATACATATAAGGAAAACAAGCAAAGATAAACTGGTAAAATTATATTACTATCAGGCAAAATAATTTTTAAAGCAAAGGCACTAAATATTTAAAGATGTTTCCACATAATAGCCAAAATTTAGCTTCATGTTTTTTCTGAACTTCCATGTATCGGAAAACTTAGTGTCAAATATATTGAGTGAAGAAAAAAGAAATTTTAAATGTCTGTCATCATAGCAGAAGATTTGAATACAGTACTCTAAGTAGATCAAATAAACAGAAAACCTTGGGGGATATAGAAAACAGAAGCCATACAATTACCAAACTCATCTGGTGACAATATCTCTACAACAGTGCAGTCAACAAATGAAGAACACACATTCTTTATATGCACATATGGAAACTACAGTTTACAGTGACAGCTCCCTTAAAACCCATCTTTGGTAATGAAATACTAAATCTAAGCAAATATATGCATGTCTTAATGAAGAAAATTATAAAAATTTATTGGAATAATTGAAAAAAGTCCTAAGTGAATGGAGTGATACACTCTATTCTAAGATAGAACTTAAATCAAACCTGCCAAAATTGATCCATAGACCTAATCAATTCTAATGGAAATTCCAACAGAAATTTCATTGAATTTGATGTGCTGATTCTAAAATGCATGAGAGAGTGAAAAGCTAAGATAGCCTAAAGAGTAGAAGGAAAAAATGATGATTGTCTATCTGCCACTGAAAGCCGTAAAACTAGGGAAGTTACAAATGTGGTGTGTTGCAGGGCTAAACAAATGCACTAAAAAAAGAGAAATAGCCACACATATGGATTCTTGACTCATGAGACAAATGTCATTACTAACCATGGTGGGAGGAGAGGATAGCTTATCCAAAATCAGCTAGAGAGCACTTGGTTATTCACAGCTGAAGGAAAGGACGATCCTTTTCCTATATAACACCAAATACAAGAATCATTTCTGAGTCAAATTGAAGATTTAAGGTAAAAGGCAAAATTTGAAAACTTAGAAGACAATGTAAGTAATTCTTAAAATATTGTCAGGTACTAAATGATTTCATAAACATATTGCAAAAACAACATGAACAGTAAAGAAACAAGGTTTCTAAATTTGACTATGTTAAAATAAAAAATTTGGTCCATCAAAAGATAGTATAAAAGAAAGCCATAAACTCAGAGGAGATATTTACAATACATATAATCCATAAAGAACCAAATTCAGAATACATATATACACACATGTGTATGTTTGTATATAGATGTATACATCATATGCATAGGTAGTAAACATGTATATGCATGTGTATCCTATAAATCAATAGAAAATACAAAACAGCCCAATTAAAAATGAACAATAGACTGACTCAGAAACTTTGCAGAGTAGGAAACAGGAAAGGCCAATAATATTTTATATACCAGATAAGTGAAAATTTAAAACTCTGCCAATTTTAAGGGTTGGGGGATACCACCACTTTGGGAAAGATTCTAGCAGCATCTAGTAAAGTTTAGAATACACATATCTTCTAAATTATCATTCTATTTTTTAAGAAATTTACACATGAGCAACAAGAGATGGATGTAATATTTATAACAGCATTGTTTAATAATACCCAAACATGTAACATCGGCCAACAGAAATGTACTATACTTATAAAGTGGAATATTATATAGCAGTAATAATTAATGAATACAGCTAAAACATTCCCACCTAGATGTGTGTGGGTTATGCTATTGAGAATTTAGTAGACAATTCTGGGAGATGGGGTTGACTGTGTTATGGGCAAAATGTATTAGCTGAAAAACTTTAAAGTTCAAGGGAGGTAAAGAGCTTCTTGGAAGTAGACTTTGCAAGTACATGGATGGCCCTGGCTCCTGTCCCAAGGGAAGTGGAAAAGGAACAGCTGGGTTTCTGAAAGACAGAGTGGAAGAAAAGTTTGCAGATGCTGAGCATGAGCAAGCATTTTGGAGAGTTAAGGAGGAGCTGGGGAGGAAGACAAGGAAGTCAAGGGAATGAGAGGAAGGACTCATGCAATGCAAGCTCAGGAGGAGGTCATCTATCCAGGAACGTGGGTGCCACAGATTCCAGCCTGGTGAGAAAAGTGGGCTGCTGTTCTGTTAGAAAGCATTCATTTTAGAAAATGACCTGAAGCAAATGTGAGGGAAAAGTCATTATTTCTTTAAATCTGGATGATGAAGGCAAGGGCTTACATTATTCTCTATCCTCTGAGGCAGTGGTCCCCAACCTTTTTTGCACCAGGGACCAGTTTCATGGAAGAGAATTTTTCCACGGACCAGGGTAGGGGGTTGTCTTAGTCCATTTTCATACTATTGTGAAGAAATAGCTGAGATTGCATAATTTATAAAGAAAAAGAGGTTTAATGGACTCACAGTTCCATATGGCTGGGAAGGCCTCACAATCATGGCAGAAGGTGAAGGAGGAGCAAAGTCACTTCTTGCATGGCAGCAGGCAAGAAAGCCTGTTCAGGGAAACTGCCCTTTATAAAACCATCAGATCTTGTGAGACTTACTCACTATCAACAGAACAGCACAAGAAAACCCGCCCCCATGGTTTAATTACCTCCCAGCAGGTCCCTCCCATTACACATAGGGATTGTGGGAGCTACAATTCAAGATGAAATTTGGGTGGGGACACAGCCTAACCATATCAGAAGAGGTTTTGGGATGAAACTGTTCCACCTCAGATCATCAGGCATTTAGTTCTCATCAGGAGCACACAACCTGGATCCTTCACATGCACAGTTCACAATAGGGTTTGTGCTCCTATGAGAATCAAATGCTGCCACTGAGCTGACAGAAGGTGGAGCTCAGGCAGTCATGCTCCCTGGCCGGCTGCTCACCTCCTGCTGTGTGGCCCGGTTCCTAACAGGCCACAGACTGGTAGCTGTCCACAGCCTAGGGGTTGGAGCCTTCTACTCTGAGGGATATTTGAAATATTTCCTCATAAAAATCATTTTACATATTTTTATTTCCTAAAAACTAAAACTGTTGTGAACTTTTCACATTGGGAAAAAAAAAAAAAAAAAAACCCTGATAGGAAGAAGCACATTTTTTAGGATGAAGCTACAGACACCTGGTATTGGTCCTACCCCTGCAAACCTACCACGCCTGTGAACCCCGCCTTTCACTGCTCAGAGAGTTTCAGCCCCTAGCTCCTCACCTGTCTCAATGGAAACTATTGTTGGAAGTTTGGTTTCTGGAGGAAAATAGGATGGGCTTAGCAGCTCCAGTAATCATTAATAAATACTAATGAAGCTGATTTGTTGGTGTTTCAACAGTTTCACATAAAATGAGTCTTGAACAAATGAAAACAATAGAAACAAAGAATTTATTAGTATCCTTGTACAGATAGTTGGAAGAATTAATTTTAAAAGGCCCAAATTCTGTAAAGCAATCAGTTTATTTATTGACCTGTCCAAGAAGCTACTTATGGGGCTGCCATCACTGGCTATGGCAGCAGATCCCCATGCTCAAGACATGTCATCCTTCTCAGAAGTGTCAAGTGAGGGAGTAGTGACAACAGGGTCACAGCCTCCATGCTGACTGACAGCTGATCTGATCTTATCCTTTCGTTCCTGGGAAGTTCCTCCTATATGGTTTTGCCGTGTTGCTGTTACAACCATCAGTCTGAGCCACTTAATGCTAAATTTATCTCAGGAGGTGGTAAATTCTCTTTGGACACTTAAAGGCATCTGGAAGAGCCATCATCTCTCATTAGGGTATTTTTCTCCACTAGCATTAGAAAGCAAACCTGCCCCTGGCATGGTTAAATCCCAGAAAAAAAAGAAATTTAGCTGCACTTGGAAATTTAAAGGAAAGTTAAATGGATAAGCTAATGGCACAAAAATAACACAAATGTTCCACTGTTTATTCACTGAAAGAGGCAAAAAAAGAAAAAAAAAAATCATTGGCTTTATCACCCAAGGCTTGCATCCAAGCACAGAGAGAGTTTCTCACTCTGTTATTGGTCCTGAGAGTGGGAGTACAACTCATAAGAGGAGGTGATAGGAAAAACAGACTGAGAAGGTGCCCATATCTAAGCAGTCTGCAACCTGGGTCAGAGAAGTCTCATCCTTACATTTTTTAATATATCACAAAAGAGGGCAGATATGTAGATAGATAAGACATGCTGAATGTTCTTAATGGATACACCTTTGTGATGTTAAGAGTTATTAATACCAATAATAGAACATAGTTTAGTGGTGTTTCATTCCTAATTAGGATATAGAAACTCATAAGAAAAATCACTCCTGCCCTAATAATGGCAAAAAGCCAATAATCTATAAAATCCTAATTTTTTGGAGTAGATCAGAGAGCTGAGGCCACAACACAACCAAATAAACTGAATTATTAAAAGTAAAAAAGCCCTCCAAGGAATTAGGAGATACACAAAATTACTTCTTTGACAGAGCAGGGAAGGAAGAGGCAGCTACCAGAAAAATGAGAATAAAATAGCTAATATTTTAATGAATGCTTATGACCCAAAAAGGCAAACATGAGACTTAGGATAACTGGAAGTCAGCAGATTAGGAGTCAGTAAACTTTTTCTTAAAGGGTCAGGTAGTAAATATTTTGGATTTCGCAAGCCATGTGGTCTGTGTTGCAACTACTCAGCTCTGCTGTCGTAGCACAAAAGTGGTCGTAGATAATACACAGGCAAATGAGCTGTGTTCCTATAAACTTTATTTACAAGAGTGGGTGGGAGCCCCATGAACCAGAGTTTGCTGATCCCTTACCAAGTGCTTCTTAGCATCTCAGATGGACTCTAAGATGGCATAATCCTATTTCCTTTGGCTGCCTGAAATGGACCAGCAATGGTGGCAGAGTAGAAGCTGTCCTCAACAATTGGCATGAAAATCAAGGAAGCTGAACCAACCTCCCACTCTGTTAGAAGCCAGTAGTATCATCTAATTTATACTTACACTAAGTTCCTACATTCCTCAATGAACAATCCTGTCTTAGTCTATTCAGGCTGCTATAACAGAATGCCATAGCTGGGTGGCTTAAACAACAGACATTTATTTCTCACAGTTTGGGAGGCTGGAAGTCCAAGAGCAAGGTGCTGGGTGATTCAGTTTCTCAGTGAGGATCCTCTTTCTGCTCCTATGTCCTCACAGAGAGAAAGACAGCTCTCCTCTCTCTTCTTCTTCTTATAAGGACACTAATCCCATCGTGGGAGCCCCATCCTCATGACCTCATCTAAACTTAATTACCTCCTAATCCTTTCTAATACCTCCTTTCTAATACCATCTGATTGGGGGTTAAAGCTTTCATGTATGAATTTTGGAGAGACACAAATTTTCAGTCCATAACAAGTCCAAAGTGTGCCATCCAAAGTGCACACCAGTCAGGGTTCCATCATGAAAACAGAGATTCTAAGAGGATGAAGCGCTCTGTAATACCATGGCAAGTACCTTTTGTAATGACACCCAGTCCTCTTCCGAAGGCTCTCAGGGGCACACACTTGCATGACTGTACCTGGGGTCAAGGGAATACCTGGACATCTCAAGGCCCAGAGGAAGCAAGGGCTAGGCTGGCAATGAGATGGAGAGAGTTCAAAGCATCATCAGAGTGTGCCCGTCAGAGTGAGGGCACCCAGGGCCACAGAAGAATACAGTCTTGGTCACGGTTGCCCTTGCAGTGCCAGGGATGCAATTCTCATCACAGACTCAAGGTTTGGGAAAAAGCCCTCCATGTACTTTTAAAAAGCCAGGCATTTCCAGGTGCTAGAGTGGAACCACAACGGGAGCTACAGAAGTTCCTGGAAGCTGGTGTTTCTCTGTAGGTACTATTTCTGTAGGTCTACAGCCAAGCATTTGGTGGTTGTCCCGGGTCTGCTATGGGCCAGCAAGGTCAGCAGCTGAGAATAAGAACAGGCAGAGTGAGGTCCAGCAGGAGCTGTGGGACTTGGCCTGGCTGTCACTGTGTCGCCAAGACAACTTCAGAGAATCAGAGCTGCTGCTTCACTTCTGCCTGCAAGCTTCTGCATAGATTCCTCTTTCGGCCTGTACTAACCTAGAAAGGGTATTCCAGGTAACATACTTCCAGTTTACTTGGTTGACACAGGATAAACTACCACTAAGCTTTTTGTTTGTTTGTTTGTTTTTCCTTGCTGAGTGAGTTATCACTAGCCAGTCCATCCTGGGAACTTCGGAACAAATGGTTTTTTTTTTTCTTTTAATTTCCTCACCATCTGAATGAAAGAGGCTCCTACTCCTGCTGTCAGAACCTTAAGTTCCCCGAGGTTTCAGAGGTTGAAGAGCCAGACATTTAAGGATAAACTGCCTTTATCCTAACTGCAGAGTATGATTACATGGGCGTGAGGTTCGGGAACTCAGAAATTGCAGCTTTCTGTGCAGAGGCACCAGGAGACTCAGCCATAGGTGGCACCCAGTCTAACGACCATTCTGTTCCCGATGTTCAGGCCCAAGGACGTGGGCTGAGATATTTTCTCCAACTATTCCCACAGGTGCTGAACCAGAGCCATTTTCCAAAACCCTCCTGGCCTCCCGGACCTGTGACGCTTCCTGCAGTTGATGTGCAAAGTCTCGCTACAAAACCAGCCCCAGGAACACAGAGCCCCATGTTTCCTCCCTGAAGGACCCAGGGCCTCTATTCTTCAGTGTCCTCTATACACAACTCCTTTTGGGGTATGACAGCTTCACTGTGAGTGTTCTCATCTTTTTAACAAAACCCAATATCCTTTCAGGTGCATCCAAGTTGCCTGCCCTTAGCTTGCCATTCTAAATGGAGCAGCCTTCATTTCGTACCAGGGTTATTACCAGTGCTTTTCGACATCGTAGTGTACGACCCTCCTTTTGTTAAGGAAGGGAGATACACAAACTCACAGATGCACTTAATATGTGGTAGCCACTCCTCTGGTAGCACCAGTAATTGTAGCAATCTGTTTTTCTCCCAAGGCCGGAGGCAACACCATCTGTATTCGTGGGAAAGGAGGTGGCTGGGTAGAAGCAGAGGTGTGACTTACAGATGGGGCATGCACGGAGGAAGAGTAACAACTGGACAAACACAAGGAAAGAGCAATGGGGCAAGGACTGCAGGATGTTGGTATGGACAAGGTTGAAGCAATGGACTGCAGAGTGTAAACTCCTAAAAACCACCCATCTTTTTATTGTCTCTGTGGGTTTGCCTTTTCCAAAATGTCCCTTTGTTACCATTACATATCATGCAGCCTTTTCACCCTGGCTTCTTTCACTTATCAATACGCACTTGGTTCCTGCATATCTTTCCATGGCTTCATACCTCATTTCTTTTTACTAGTGGCTAATATTCCATTGTATGGCTATATCACAGTTTCTTTATCTATTCACCTATAAATAATATCTTGGTTGCTTCTGGGTTTTGGTGATTATGAATAAAGATGTTACAAATATTTGCCTGCAATTTTCTGCGTGGACAATTGAGTTTTTTAATTCAATTGAATACATGTCAAGGAGTGCAACTCCTAAGAGTATGGTTAGCTTTGTCAGAAACCACCATACTGCCTTCCAAAGTGGCTCTATCATTTTGCATTCCCATCAGCAGGAAGTGAGTTTCCAGTAGCTCCACCTCCTCACTGGCAATCAGTAATCAGTGCTCTGAATTTGGGGCATTCTAATAGGTGTGTAGTGGTATCTTATTGTTGTTTTAATAATTTGATTTAGGAAGCAAGTCAGCTCAGCCACCATTCTGTGACTGTGCACTGCAGCTGATCTGCTCCCTCTTGAATAAAAGGGTCTTGATTGAAAATGCCTTTTGAATCCACGTAGTTCAAGTCGTGGAGTCTGTTGTAAGGCAGTTTTCTTAATTAAGGTAACACTTTCTCCTTTAGCAAATCTGCCTGGAAATGTGCAATGGCTGTAACACCAGAAAAGTTCATTTCTTGCTCATTTAACACTTGTAAATGGTTCCAAGCAGGCAGGGGTGGAGGAGTTGGAGTATTGAGAAGGGTTCTACTCCACAGAATCATTCAGTGACTGGTTTGGCGTGGGCTCTGCTGCCTTCGCCACATGATGCCTGAAGTCATCAAAGTATTTCCCATCTGGTTAGAGGATAGGAAAAGATCATGGAGAATCCTGTGTGGGAATGTGTGTAGGCCAGGCTGAAGTGGCTCATATCACTTCCACTTCTATTGCATTGCTTCCCTCTAACGACAAGGGAGATCAGGAAATGCCATCTCTCTCTCTGTGCTCAGAAAGAAGGGGAGAACATGGACTTCGGGGAGTGCTTGTGTTTGCAACAGAAGAAAAGCTCCGAGAAGGCGGAGAGCTCAGAGAGAAAGAAAGATCAAGGGACCTGAGGTTCCACTGTGGTGGAGGAAATAGCTGGGAATAAGTGAATAAGAGCTGAGAATGCGAGGGAGGATATATATCAGAGGCTACGATTTCAGAAAGAGAGCAGAGCAAAGTCAACCCAAAATTCAAGAGTTGGCTCCAGAGTGGATGGTGTCAGGGCTGTCATTGATGAAGATGAGAAACTTAAATTCAGTAGCAGAAAAATAATAGCTAGCATGTATTAAACATTTGCCACATGTAAGATGGTAAGCCCTTTACTTGTCTTGAGCTTTGAAATAACTCTATTGTCTTAAAATAATTATTATTGACATTTTACAGAGGAGAAAAGTGAAGCACAGAGACCATATTAATTAGCAAGGTTACTGGGATGTTTACACCAGGGAGTTTGATACAACCAAGACCCAGGTTTCCAACTAGTAATTACACAATCTCTATGACTGGGCAAAACTTTAATTAGAGAGAAAAGATTTAGCCAGGTGTGACATAAATGTGCATGGAGTAGGTAGATAAAAAACTGAAATATAGACGTCAACAATAGGGGACCTAAAATTAGGTATGAGTTTGTACTGTATCTTGAACTCTAATGTATTAGCACATTGATCATTCCAGTCTCCCTCCTTTACTTATCTTTAAATTCTCACCCCAACATTGAGAAATCTGGCTACCATCATCCACCAAGTATTTACTTAATTGCTCAATCGTAGTAGGCATGTATAGTAGTATCAGAATTCTTAACCAGTTCCCCTATGGGAAACAACTTAATCAACTACAGTACAATGTTTAATTTGCCTTTAGTCTTGCAGACTAATTCCCAAAGTTATTTACATCAGCACTTTCCCCTCGTCCCCTTCAGAGAGGTTGTTTCATACATTTGTAATACAGAGAGATTGTTTTGTCACATTCTTCCTTCCATCCTGGGATCTCAGCACCTTCTAAGTCATTATTTTTTAATTGCATACATTAAATTTTATTTTTTTGGGCTATAAAGTTATATGAGTAAAGTTCATAGTGTAATGTATCCACCATTTTAGTATCATACAGCATAGTCCCACTATTCATCCCCCAAATCCCCTGTTCTTCATGTGCTCAACCTCCTCCACTCCCCAAACCCTGGCAACCTGTGACCTTTTTACCAGTGCTATAGTTTTGCCTTTTCTGGAACGTCTCATACCTGGAATCATAAAGTATGTAGACTTTCCTAAAAATAATTAATACATTTAAATTTAGTATAGTTTTTGATATATGGAATAGTTCGACAGATAATAACAGAGTTCCACCTATCCATTCCACCCCTACTCCCACCCCACACAGTTTCCACATCACTACCATCTAGCATCAGTATAACACTATTTGATATGGTTTGGCTGTGTCGACACCCAAATCTCATCTTAAATTCCCACGTGTTGTGGGAGAGACCCAGTGGGAGGTAATTGAATCATGGGGACAGGTCTTTTCCATGCTGTTCGGGTGATAGTGAATAAGACTCACAAGCTCTGATGGTTTTAAAACGGGGAGTTTCCCTGCACGAGCTCTCTTCTCTTGCCTGCCGCCATGTGAGACGTGCTTTTCACCTTCCGCCTTGATTGTGGGGCCTCCCCAGCCACGTGGATCTGTAAGTCCGTTAAACTTCTTTCTTTTTTAAATTGCCCAGTCTCAGGTATGCCTTTATTAGTAGCATGAAAACAGACTAATACACTATTGTTACAATCAATAAACCAATACTGACACATTGTTATTAAATATTGTCCACTAAGTTTTACTCTTTGTTTGCTCTATGGATTTTGATAAATGTATAGTGACATGTACCCACAACAGAATAGTTTAATCACTTTAAAAAATCTGTGCTTCAGCTATTCATCCCTTCTTCCATCCCTTCCTGGAACCCCTAAAAACCACCAATCTTTTTATTGTCTCATGGTTTTGCCTTTTCCAAAATGTCCCACTGTTACCATTATATATCATGCAGCCTTTTCACCCTGGCTTCTTTCACTTATCAATACGCACTTGGTTCCTGCATATCTTTCCATGGCTTCATACCTCATTTCTTTTTACTAGTGACTAATATTCCATTGTATGGCTATATCACAGTTTCTTTATCTATTCACCTACTAAAGAATATCTTGGTTGCTTGTGGGTTATGATGATTATGAATAAGGCTGTTACAAATGTTTGCATGCAATTTTCTGTGTGGACAATTGAGTTTTTTAACTCAATTGCATAAATACCAAGGAGTGCAGCTCCTAAGAGTATGGTTAGCTTTGTCAGAAACCACCATACTGCCTTCCAGAGTGGCTCTATCATTTTGCATTCCCATCAGCAGTAAATGAGTTTCCAGTAGCTCCACCTCCTCACTGGCAATCAGTAATCAGTGCTCTGAATTTGGGGCATTCTAATAGGTGTGTGGTGGTATCTTATGGTTATTTTAATTTATGTTTCCCTAATGACATATGATGTTGAGCATTTTTCATATGTGCACTTGCCATCTGTATATCTTCTTTAGTGAGATGCCTTTTCAGATTTCTTGCTTATATTTTAATTGGGTTGTTTGTTTCCTTACTGTTGAGTTTTAAGTATTATTTGTATATTTTGGATACAAGTCCTTTTTCAGATATGTGCTTTGCAAATATTTCCTCCCAGTTTGTGGCTTGTCTCTCCATTTTCTTAACAGCATATTTGACAGAACAGAGCAGTTTATAATTGTAATAAAGTTCACTTTTTTTTTATTTTATGGATCACATTCTTGGTGTTATACCTAAAAACTCATCACCAAATCCAAGGTTAATTAAGTTTCCTTCTTGGTTTTCTTCTACAAGTTGTATTGCTTTGCCTAATTCAATGTTAAGTTGTGTACAGTGCTTCAGTGTAAATACCTTGTACGGCATGGAAACTTCACAAAAGTTTACTACAAATACTATGAATACTTTAAATTCTCACTCCAACATTGAGAAATCTGGCTACCATCATCCATCAAGCATTTACTTAATTGCTCAATCGTAGTAGGCATGTATAGTAGTATCAGAATTGTTAACCAGTACCCCTATGGGAAACAACTTAATCAACTACAATACAATGTTTAATTTGCCTTTAGCCTTGCAGACTAATTCCCAAAGTTATTTACATCAGCACTTTCCCCTCGTCCCCTTAAGCCCCCGTAAGTTGGGGGCTATAAAGGAATTCGGGTCTCCTAATGCAAGGTAACATATATGGAAAACAGATATCACATGCTTGAGAAATTACCCAAACACAGAACAAATTCAACAGAAGCAAGAACCCAAAATCAGAAGTAACTAAGTACTTTTAAACTCTCCCAAGAATCCTCAGAAATCCTGAGAAGGTACTAAGTCTTTCCCTGTATGAAGAATGGACATTTGAGCCAATGTAATTTAAATCTTAAAGGTCAAAGCGACTCTGACATTTAAGTCAGAGTAGGGAGAGTAGCAAAGTAGCAAGTGGATCTTCTTCTTATAGCTATCGTTATAGGAGGGAAAAAAGACCTTTAGAAAGAATTTTTGGAATCATTTCCTTTATCTTACTGAATTAGAAATCATCACTGAGCAGCTGGCTAATCGAGCTAAGAGTGCTATACAATCCTGGAGGGTTAATATCACATCTGATTCATCATTGGATGACATGAAATAGGCACTAAATAATTGTTTATTAAATGGCTGCTTCTTGAATTCTTTGGTTTCAAAGAAATTGATCCTATGGAGCAGAACATCAGTAACAGAGCTAAAAAGAATTTGTCTTAGATACATCTTACAAGAATTCTCCTGGAAACATACGATTTTCAATAATGATGTAATTTTATCTACAGTAGAATTGTTAGATCACAATTACTAGTGAACTTTAGCTACTTTAAAAAGATCAAATCATGTTGTGTTTTAATGGACTCTTTAAATTAAGAGTCTAATTCAGCTATTTATACCTCTAGGAAATAAGTTTTCCTTAATTCTACAGCAAGAGCCCCATGCATCAGCACACATGTGGCTAAGCCGTGCTGGCCACACATCTCTTTATCTTTCAATATCTTCTCCCAAAAGAACTCAAGGATCTCCTATGGACAGGATCGATTCAAATCAATAGAAGACATGAGGCATTAACAAGTATCAGCGAGCCCCAGTATTTTGTTCTAGAACATGTTACGGTACAAAGAACAGTATCTTATATTTCCAGTGCCTTTCCACAAAGTATTACATATGTTATCTCATTTAATCCTTATACGTGAAGCTGGAAAAGCAAACATGGTTCTGTTTTTAAAGTTTAGAAAACAAGCACAAAGGGGCTAATTGGCTTGACCAAGGTCACGCAGTTGATAAACTGTAGAACACAATCTCTAGCCGAGGTCTCTTTTTTTCACTGTATTCCTGTCCTTCGAACAAAGAGAAAAACGTTAAGGGCTTTAAACAAGAAATTCTGTTTACTACAATATTTATTCTCAATTCTTACAAAATCGTTTAGAAAAGTATCCAAATACTCATTCCCTTCAGAGGTTGCTGTATATTTTCTTGAAAGGAATAATGATTTAAATTATGGTTTAAAAAAATGTATGGACTATCACTTTAATAGGCATCATGAAAAGTCAAAATTCTTATGTAATAGAAAAACACTAAATATTCGTAGACACAGTAAAATAATCTACAGAGCAATAATTAATAGCATCACGACAATGTGTCATGTTTTATTATGTAAAAATTATTTTGACTTGCTTTTCATGCCCGGATTTATATATATTGATGGGTGGAATAATTCATAATGCCATTTTACTATTAAACTACCCAAGTTTCACTTCATATTTTTCACTAAACAATTAATGGTGTCCATGTGCACTCTATCTGGATAGACTGACATGAATTTGTCATTTATTCTAATTATGCATGCAAAGCAAGTTGCAGACAGCAGCACAGTTGAGCTGTATGTTTACTGTTTAATATTTATAGGGTTCCAGCAATGATTAGGCAGGATGTACCACAAAATCCCTGCTCCTCTGGACATGTAAATTCAAGAGTTTTTATAGATTTTGTAGTCAAGATGCCCGTATTATACTTAACAGTAGGTTAGTTCTGCAAAGGTGTAAACCATGCTGCTTAGCCCAAAGGTCATGGATTTGCTCCTCCAGTTATAAAATTAACTTTGCTTTGTGCTGTAGTTACAAACCACACTAGCGATTCTAGCCAACCATCTGAGATCACGCCACTGGGTCCAGGGAGAGGGCAGGATGGATGAGAGTGTACGAATGAATCAGTACAAATTCAATTTCACTACTAGGAAAGACTCAAACATGCAACCAACTGACAAATCCGTGGCATGTTCATGAACATCCACTCATTCTAAAAGTGTCTTCTGAGTCTGCCTTTGCTGACTTCAGAATTCCTCATTAGTATTTTGGCATTTAAAATTTTATTTTTATTTTCTGTTAGTATGGAACTCAAGCCAGTTTCTTCCTTGATGAAGAACAATTGCTAAGGGCCTTTAGAGAAACTTGGGAAACGTGAGCACATGTGTTCTGGTGTCTTGCAAAGCTGTCTGCCCAGGTGACCTCTGGAAGCCCCATGATAAATGAGGCACTATGGCCAGGTAGGAGGGAAGAGAAAGCTCACTGAGTCACCCAGAGCAGAGGTGCAATGAAAGGTCTACTTTCAAACACAGAAGATGGTAAACTCTTGAAAATATAAACTCTTGAAAATATAAAAGCACATGCACCTATCAAGGATATAAAGTGAAAAGTGGTGGTGGGGAAGCAAGGGAAGACTGTGATTTTGAAACAGGGTATTACATAATCAGAGTGGCAGAAATGACTTTAGAGAGCCTTGGAAGGCTGGCGATGAGGGTAGTGAAATTATGAAACAAGATAGACAAAAAAATTAATTATCATAATATTTATTTAAGCAATTCATTTAGGAATAGTGGACAGGGTAAATGTGTAAGGGGTGAGAATCACAGAAATGAGAACCACAATAGTTCAGGAGTTAAAGTCTCAAATAAAGATTCGGGGAAGGGCAACTCAGTAGATATCGTTATAGCTACTGCTTTTTATCACCTCTTGTAATCTTCACAAATAAATTCCAGATTTATTCTTCTGTGTTTTATGAGAGAGAGAGAGCATTTAGTAACAATATCAGCCTGAATGTAGAAAAATAAACTTTTTAGAAAACATTAAATTTACTCTGGTATTTTAAAACCACATTACCAGCTGATGGTTGTGCTTCCACGGCAACTATGATGGTTACAGTAATATGTGTCTTTGGATGTGTGTGCATATGTGAAAGAGATTGAAAAGTGGCATAGAAGTGGCATAAAATGATGAAGAACCCCTTCCTTCTCCTCCCAAAAAGGAGATAATTTTAATATGATTGGGTCAGTTTCCAGGATACAGATATGTCTGTGTATTTTAATGGACAGGGTTATTATATTAAACCTCTGAATCTTCTATTTTCCTGCGTTCATGTCTAGGTAGGTAAGTTTCCTGGAGCTTGCCTTATTTTTTTCTTTACCTCTTTTCTTCTACCCTGGTGTGTTTCTGTTTCAGAAAGAAAAGGATTTCTCACTTTAGCTTTGAGCTTAAGTAACATGCTCCAGCTTTATCTATGAAAGTCTTACATCAAATAATCAAGTAGTGGCCCAGAAAGTGATACATGCACAATTTTATTTCCCTTTTACCAACAGCCCCTGAAGGAAAGGGAAGGCTGACTGGATCAGGGCAGAATCTATCTAATAATGCCTTAAATCTCAACAATGTGCGAGAGAATTCTCTCTAGAAACTTTACCCTTGAGAAATCCGTCTTCCTCATCCACTTTGAGATGGTAATGAAATCGCTGGAATTTTAGAATTAAGACGTCCTACAAGAGATATGGCCTTTAACAGCCAGAAAAGATCAAGTGTGGAAATGTAAGTCTGAATGCATGCCAGTAGTAATGGAATAGATCACCCCCAAAATCACTGCAAATGGAGAGGAAAGATCCTGCTTCAGCGGAGGCCATGATTAGTTCATAAAGATGTCTCAATTCCAGGGGCAATTATTCAGGCATGTGGATGGATGGTAGGAAATGGGAATTGAGGGGCTGACAGACAGATAGAAAACCAATCCCTGGGGTAGCCTCATGTCCCACAATCCACATTCCCAGGAATAACATGAGTCCACTTATATTAGGAAAGGGATTATTTGCACTGCCAAAGTAGATTTTTTAAGAAGCCAGATCCCATCAGAAGCAACTAAGTGAAAATGACACATTTTCCCAATGTGGAGTGGGGGAGGGGATATAATTTTAAAAGGCCATTGAGACCAATTGCTTACAACAGAACAAACTTCATATTTGCTGTGATGGTATCCGATCAGGCATTGTGTGATTCAAACACTATGCACCAAGCAAGCTGTGTTTCAGGCTGTCCAGTGCCTTTCCCCGAGGATGTACCCCACACCCGCATGCAGGCCCTGGGCAGCCTGCCCAAAGTCTCCCTGTCTCTGGCTGCCACCACTGTTTCGCCTATGCAGCTCTACCCCTAAGACTGAAATTTTATCCATTGTTGATGCAGGCTCCTTCTGGGGGTCTGACCAGTAACAGATCAATGTTGGAACTGCGTATGGCCATTTTTTGTTTTTCCATGTGGATCAGATAAGCTGAGGTAGTCACTGCAAAGACAGAAAAATCAAGGAGCTATGCAGAGCGAGGAAGAGATGGGAGAATTCTGCTCATGTTTCATACCCTCGTCTTATCCTGAGGTTCAGCCGCTTTCCTCTGGATTTTTGTTTAAGTTAGCACAAACATGTTTCTGACACTTTCAACCAGAAGGTCCTAATTAACAAAGGAACATGAGGAAGGACCTACCTAAAAGACGACACACAGCATATTTTCCTTTGCTGCTCATCAGTCATACAGTCATAAGACTGATGTTTCTTACCGAACTCCAGAGCTTATTAAGTCTTGGGGAGAAATCTGAGTATAACACAAGAATTGAGTAAGTAGTTAGAAATTATTCCATGAGTCTTTCTAACATAATGAGACTAGTTTTCTGTATCACTTGGAGAAATACTTTTGTTGCCTTAAATTTGAATTTGGTAATCTTAGGAGTAATGGGCAAGTCATGAATATCCAAAATATCTCAGGAATTCACATACCTCCATAGCAAAATAATTTAAAAACCCAATTTAAAAAAAAAAAGGCAAAGGACCTGAATGGGAGTATCTCAAAAAAAAAAAACACACACACACACACACATAACAGTAGCCAACAGATTAATGAAAACATGTTCAACCTCATTAATCAGCAGGGAAAAAAAGAAATCCAAACCCCCAATGAGATATGACCTCACACCTGTTAGAACGGCTTTTATCAAAAAGACAAGAGATAACAATGTTGGCAACGGAGTGGAGAACATGAAACTTTCTACACTGTTGGTGTGAATGTAGATTGCTGCTGCCATCATGAAAAACAGTGTGTTGGTTTCTAAAGAAATTTAAAACAGAACTACCATATAGCCCAGCAATCCCTCTTCTGGAGTATATACCCAAAATAAATGAAATCACCACCTTGTAAAGATAGCTCCACTCTCATATTCCTTGCAGCATTATTCACAGTGGCCAAGACATGGAAACAACTGAAGTGCCTATCGATGCATGAATGGATAAACTGTGATATATATGATGGAATATTATCCAAACTTATAAAATAAGGAAATCCTGCCAATTGTGAAAACATGGATAAACCTAGAAGATGTTATTCTAAGTGAAATAAGCCAGACATAGAAAAAGACTGCATTATCTTACTTATATGTGGGATATTAAAAACAAACAAGCAATCAAATTCATAGAAATAGATAATAGAATGATGGTTGGTGGGAGAAGGAAGGCAAGGGGGGAAATGGGGAGATGCAGGTGAAAGGGTAGGAAATTACAGCAATGTAATGTGAGTAAATCTAGACATCTATCCACAAGTTACTAACTGTAACCCTAGTTAGTAATATTGTATTGAATCCTGGAAATTTGTCAAGGGAGTAGATTTTAGGTACTCTTACACACAGAAAAGAAAGGTAACTATCTGAGATGATGCATACCAGAGGACTTCAAAAAGTTTTTGGCCAAAGGAATTAAAATACAAGAATAAAAAATATAAACTTTATTTCTCCACATAAGTTCCATCAAGTTCAAGACACTTTTGTAAGTGATGATACCAGCCACTTAGTTCATCCTGAAAGAACTGAGAATCCTGGGAATTTAACCATTCCAATGTAGTCGTTTTTACATTCTTACCTGCAGACTAATGAGCGCCCACTATTTTTTTTAAAGATTACAAAACAAAAGGAAGTCAGAAACAGCCAAATTGGGTCTATGAGGGGAATGCCTAGTGATTTTCCATCCAAACTTTTGCAGAATTTTCCTTATGTTATGTGAGTAATCAGCAGGAGGATTGTCATAGTGGGAAAGGACTCTGGCGCAGTTTTCTTGGGCATTTTTCTGCTAAAATTTTGGCTTTCTCAAAAACACGCTCATAATAAGCAGATTTTATTATCTTTGGCCCTCCCGAAAGTCAATAAGCAAAATGCCTTGAGCATCCCAAAACTGTTGCCATGACCTTTGCTTGTGACTGGTCTGCTTTTGCTTGGACTGGGCAACTTCCGCCTCTTGGTAGCCATTGCTTCGATTGTGCTTTGTCTTCAGGATTGTACTGGAGAAGCCAAGTTTCATCTCTTGTTATAATTCTTTGAAGAAAGCTTCTGTAACTTGATCTCACTTGTTTAAAATCTCTAGTGAGGCCGGGCGCAGTGGCTCATGCCTGTAATCCCAGCACTTTGGGAGGCCGAGGCAGGCGGATCACGAGGTCAGGAGATCGAGACCATCCTGGCTAACACGGTGAAACCCTGTCTCTACTAAAAATACAAAAAATTAGCCAGGCATGGTGGCGGGCACCTGTAATCCCAGCTACTCGGGAGGCTGAGGCAGGAGAATGGCGTGAACCCAGGAGACGGAGCTTGCAGTGATCCAAGATAGTGCCACTGCACTCCAGCCTGGGCGACAGAGCAAGACTCCATCCCAAAAAAAAAAAAAAATCTCTAGTGAAAGCTCTGCTTTTGTCTGCAGTTTATTTGGGCACAATGGTTTTGGTATCCATTGAGTGGAATATTTGCTGAACTTTAATTTTTTCAGTCAGAAATGGGTAAGCTGAAGCAACTGAGATGCCAATGGCATTGGCTATTGTTCGCACTGTCAGTTATGGCGTAATCAAGATGAATTCTTTTCCCCACAAATTGATTAGAATGGCCTACTGCTGTGGGCTTAACTTTTAACATCATCTCTTCCCTTCTTAAAACAAGATATATATTTGTAAACTGCTGACTTCTTTGGGGCATGATCCTCATACATTTTTTATAAAGCATAAATGATTTCATCATTATTCTACCCAAGCTTGACCGTAAAATTGCTTCAATTTTTGCAGAATCCATGTTGTTCTGATAGGATTTTTTGTTTTTTTTCTTTTCAAACTTATGTCTAATCCTTCTTAGTACTTCAAACTAGATTCTGTTCAGACATGGTTACAATAAGTTAGTATGAGTCTATTTTACTGCAAAAAAATTGAAATCCACGCATACTTTTTTCATAATATGCATTTTCTATGAAGATTTTGAAAACCCCTCCTATGTTAATTGACTTGATTGTAGTAATCACTTTACTATGTATGTATATATCAAAACATTATGTTTTACACATTAAATATATACTTTTTTTAACTTGAATAATTAAGAGATCTCCTTGAAGGTGAGAATTGCTATATTGTCAAAACAACATCAACGCATGAATGAAAAATTCCTTCAGGAACAGATCCAATGTGCTTCATGTTTTCCTTAAACCTGGAGGTTTCTGGAGCAGTTACAATAGCAAAAAGGGCATTCTGGTATATCAGTTGGGTGGAATCTGAATTCTAGCACTCTACTCTCCTTCATAAATGCTCCTCCTAAAATCAGCTTTATTTCAATAGAGGGCCCATGTCAAAAATGAATAAACAGTTTCTTGGTAATACTTACACTTGAATTTAGCCAAAAAGAGAGAAACAAACCAAGGACCTCACCTATTTAAATTATTATTTCAGCAACTAATATTTCCACTAATTAAATCTTCTGTGTATTATTGACAATTCTTCCTTTCCCTTTTCTAACTTTACCCTAACCCATTCAGAATAGTAGTCCTTTTTAATGTTGATTTAGTATCAAATGGAAAACTTTTGCCATTTGACTTTTTATATTTAAAATATCCAGATAGAAGGGGAAAAATGACTACAGAACTTCAAATAAATCCTCCATGAAAAGATTTTCCTGTGTCAACGGATGTAGAAACAGAGCTGCCCCTGTTGTTTTGCAAACAATGAATCTTCTCTAGCCTATAAATAATGGAAAGAAAATCTCAGAAAGGATTTTTCTAATTCCAGCGGCTTCAGGCTACCTACCCAGCATGCCTTCTTGTTTACAACTGCAAGTACAAATGTATGATTTTTTCCCCCTTTTCACTCAAAACATTAGCTTTTTGGCTTATGGAATTAACCTCTGCCATGAATCTATGCTGTTTGCTTGCTGTCGCTATTTTAAGCACTGAACCTATTTTGCACTTTTTAAACATAAGGCTCTTAGAGTGTTATATAAACTGTTACTCCATAAATTCTCTTTTTATCCCACATAAGGTAAATGTTAAATCTTCACCCAAATTTACTGATAGGCAAACTGGAAGATCGAGGCATTTGACAGGACCTCATTATTCTATGGGAAACATTTTGAACACGGATAACCTTATTAACCATGTTTCTAACTTTTGTGAACTTGGAGTTTTAACAGCTGTCCTACAGGCATATGCTGGGCAAACCTTGTCCTGGAAACCCCAATAATATGTCTGAATCTCCTTGCCTTAGCGTCCCCGACCCCTTCCTTATGTCCCCCCTTCTTAGGGTTGAGATCTCTTTCTGGAGGTCCACTTTTCAAATACAAACTAATCAGTCCAAAGTCCATATCCCAACCATCTCCTTTATGGGCTCGCAAACTCCAGGTCACTATCTGTCTCCCATCATAACCCCAAGACCAGGTATCAGACAATTAAGGACAGCCTATACAGCCCAGAGCCCATTGAAATTATTCAAACTAGCCAATATGAGGCCAGTTTACCCTGTCTAATTCATTCTTTTCTCAGAAGCCAAAAGAAAGGCTCTTGTCCACAGTTCTCCTGCCACCTCTGCTCATTATTTTATTTTATTTTATTTTATTTTATTTTATTTTATTTTATTTTATTTTATTTTATTTTATTTTTGACATGGAGTTTCTCTCTTGTTGCCCAGGCTGGAGTGCAATGGTGCAATCTTGGCTCACTGCAACCTCCACTTCCCAGGTTCAAGTGATTCTCCAGCCTCAGCCTCCCAAGTAACTGGGATTACAGGCGCCTGCCACCGCGCCTGGCTAATTTTTGTATTTTCAGTAGAGACAGGGTTTCACCATGTTAGCCAGGCTGGTCTCAAGCTCCTGACCTCAAGTGAACCACCCTCCTTGGCCTCTCAAAGTTCTGGGATTATAGCCATGAGCCACCATGCCCGGCGTCCACCTCTGCTTCTTGACCCACTTCGATACTCCTCTATCGCAGCCCTGCATGGTGTGGCATGCTCCCTCCCCTTGGGAACTATGAGTAATAAATTATCTTTTCGATGACAATTGTTTTCTGATCTGTTGGTCTTATGGTACCTAAATTTTTCTTTTTAATACACTAGATTTTGAAACAGCCACCTAATTGGAGACCAAGGGGTCTCTCTTTATCTCTACTTCCCTATTACCTGTCTCTTTAACAAGTTCTTTTGCTTACATTATTTGAATTATGTGAATCACCTATTGTCCTGTTACTATGTCTACATAGAACATGGTATAAAATACTATTTGCAATCTTTAGATATAGTCATACCCAAAGTCAAAAAATTGAATTAAATAACCCTTTGTTTTTGTTTTTGTTTTTTTTTTTTTTTTGAGACGAAGTTTCACTCTTGTTGCCCAAGCTGGAGTGCAATGACATGATCTCACTGCAACCTCTACCTCCCAGGTTCAAGCGATCCTCCTGCCGCAGCCTCCCAAGTAGCTGGGATTACAAGCATGCACCACCACTCCCAGCCAATTTTTTGTATTTTTAGTAGAAACGGGGTTTCACCATGCTAGCCAGGCTGGTCTCAAACTCCTGACCTCAGGTGATCCACCCACCTCAGCCTCCCGTAGTGCTAGGATTACAGGCATGAGCCACTGCTTTCAGCCTAAATAATCCTTTCTAAGTTGCTTTTTTATCCTAGATCCTGAGACTTAGTCAAGACATGAAAACATGCTGATACCCCTCTTCGCAAGGCTAAAATAATTCTGTTTACTTTGCAATTTCTTCTCTTTTTCCATTTCTTTGGTCTTTATGTAAATTTTGCTGAAAGAAATCTGATGCAATTGCTGTGGCTAGTCAAGGGGGAGGGAAAATGTAAATGTTGCAGGCAAAATGGAAATATTTTGCATTAATATCTTTTGGAAATGGTCTGTGTTTTTTTGGTGCTGCCATCAATGTAGATTTGAACAGTGTTCAATTATTTTGATAGAAATTTAACTCCTCAAAGTCAATGAATATTCAAAAATGAAATGAGATGGTTTCTAAGGTCCCACCCTGCACCAAAGTGATCTTTGGTAGTCTTATAATAAACAAATGTTCACAGAAGACTTCCCGAAATTTAAATCAAATCATTACATTTAGTTTGCAAAGTAATAGAAAAAAATGTTCCCTCCAAAATAATTACTGATCTTCCTGAAATGTATTATTTACTCTCTTTTTTGATGTTTTCTAGAATATTTGAATTTTCTTTTTCATTTACAGTTAATGTTTACTTACTATGAAAACAGAACTATGTGCAGTATTCTTGTAATAAACCACCTCCTCTAGTTATTGAGATAGAACTCACCTAAATGTGAACATTCACAATGATGTTTTTTCATGAGAGCAAATGATTGGGTTGTAGATTTTCATAAACCTCTTATGTTTTTCCAAATGTCTTTCATTATTGTTTACAGCACTGTTTTGAGGAATCTAAATAACTTGAAAGGCATATCAGCAGCTGCTTCTTTGAAATTTACTTCAATAACTTATTGTTCATTCACCCTTAACATTAGCTGCAGCAAATGCATTCTAACCATCATAAAAGTGGGCGGTAGAATGTAAGTTGTAAGTACTAGATCTCAGAGAAAATGTAAATGTTTATTTAAAATTGGTTATTAGATGAAGACACAAGGAAATGAGATCTCCACTCTCCATGATTTTCTAGGATAGGAAACTAACAGACTTTGGTATCCAGGAGCAAAATCTCTTATTCAGAGTTGATCGTTAAATCTTCAGAAATTTTACAAGTCTGTTGCTTAACAGAGATGTTTTAATAAATAAATTATATAGTCACAATTAAATTATATTAAATTCAAAGGCAATCAATATGCAAAATTAATTTTCTCCATTATTTCTAATTATTCTCCAGTACTGCACTATTATCTGTGGTGTTAAGGTCCTTGGTGTTGACTGCTGTGTGTGGAGGGAACACTGTCTAACGGTGCTCTATGGCACTTCTCTCCCCATCTCTGGCTCAATGAAATCATGCTGGTAGCTTGACACCTATGTTGGGAGAATTTTTACTGCAGAAATCAGTAAATGCTACAAATCAGGGCTTGATTCATGGTTTTATTGATCATCTAAACATAAGAAAGTATTGAAAAACATCAATAGTGAAGGTAAAAATTTAAACTAGGTCTTGTCTGCTGCTGTTACATTATGAATGGCACAAAACATCAGAGAATATTGTTCTGGTGTTCAAAACCATTTCCCAATTTACAAAAGAAGCCTCATTAATGAACTAGTGAAGTTCCTCATATGTGTTGTTTCACATTCATGTTATCCAATGTAAATAAAAATCTTAATCAATGTTTATGGCAGAGCTATACTTGGTATTCGAGTGCAACCATAGGTTGTCCACCTTAAACAAACTTTTTTCAAAAATCAATACAAGCTTTCTGTGAAATTCAATTTTCTCGCTCTGTTGCCCAGGCTGGAGTGCAGTGGCACAATCTCGGCTCACTGCAACCTCCGCCTCCGGGTTCAAGCGATTCTCCTGCCTCAGCCTCCCGAGCAGCTAGGACTACAGGTGCCCACCACCATGCCCAGCTAATTTTTTGTATTTTTAGTAGAGACGGGATTTCACCATGTTAGCCAGGATGGTCTCCATCTCCTGACCTTGTGATCCGCCTGCCTCTGCCTCCCGAAGTGCTGGGATTACAGGCGTGAGCCACCGTGCCTGGCCCTATTTTATTATTTATAAATATTTTGTTATCAGTAAAATTCCTAATAAACTTATGCACGAGTATATATCTGTATGTACACCCTAACTTTTTTTTTTATTAAACCACATGCTACTCCTGTAGTAACCTGGGACTTTTACCCTGGAGGGTGAAATTCTGTTGCCAGGGCCTTTCTGCATGACAGTCCTCCTTTATCTGCCAAGATATTTAGAACATCACTGTTTCTGGTCAAATTCATTCTGTGGAGTAAAATTTTGTGTGAAAATCTTTAGACATGTACCAAGTTTATGCATGCTCAGGAATCTCTAATTGGCATCAAGCCTACATCTATCATTATTAGCAAGACCAGTAATAGCCCATTTTCTGGCCCACCTTAGGATTCGTACCATGTAAAATAATTATCCCAGTATGCCTTCAAATTGTATTTTAGTCCTTAATTTTTATTTCATGGAATTTTAAAATTCTGTCTTGAATATAAAAAACTAAAACCTTAAATATACTTTGTTTTCATTAAATATCCCAAATGGGACAGGTATCTCTCACTTTTGCTAAGACATGCCTAGATAATAATTTAGGTATTCCAAAGCAGCTACATGAGCTTGTGTTACTTTCCAGAATTTCAACAACCCTTGCAGAAACATTTCTCACTGCACTTATGATGTGGTCATAACAATGTATTATGACCTTGCAACATTGCAGGTGGCCAGTAAATGGGCAAGAAAAGACCAATAATACCCAACTGCTATATGCCCCAACATGTTTACCCCAGAAAACAAAACTTAACAGCAATGAGGTGGAAACACAGAGTAGGGGCAGGTGGAACAAACCTCTAGAAGAATTACTCTCCTGCCCTGCGTTTTCTAAAGGGTACACAACTGCCTGTGACATTCTCTGTGCAGCTAGGGTTCTGCTACACTTGAGAAGGAAACCAAGCTCTTCTCCTGCTCTGCACTCAGACACTCAGTTTAGATTACTCTTCTGTAAGAAATCCCAGGAACAATCCCTGGACTTCCACACGTAGGAATGTTTGAAAACCCTGGACTCTCCTAAGAGAACCAAACTCAGCACCATCAAAGCTGCATTGCCATGGCAGCAGGGGACAGCAGGGAAGACAGTGCTAGTGCTGGGGTCTCTTTATCTGAGCCTTAGCCTTCCAGTGTCCTCAGGAAGCCCTTTATCTCCATGGACAGGCTCAGGAGGTGACTAGACCTGAAATCATTACATGCAGATGGTACCAGAAAGTCAATGCGTTTATTTTCTTTGACTTTCCTGCTCTTCCATTCTTCAGTGTTGTGAAGCACCCTGCTTTTATGCTTTGTGTAGTGTGTGCTGTCATACATCTTATACGCCCAAGTTGCTTAAATTTCCTCTTTTTTCATACAATTCACTGAACTGCAGTGAGAATGGCCTCTGTTTTGGTGAATTGATGGCATTGACATTTGGTATTTAAGGAGAACAAAGGTATGCAGAGACACCAGACAACAAGGTGAAGAGGCTGCAGAATACAGTATTCTACAGAGATCAGCACTTTGCACATGGACAGCGTCATTGCCTCCGAGGATTTTGTACAATGAGGATGCAGCTAATTCATTTGTTCTGTGCTACTGAGCACACTCCCCAAAATCACACACACACAACTCACATAAGTGCTGCTTTCTTAATAATTTCACAGAGAAATTTTAAATGAAAATGTATTATTCAAAAGAAAAGTTTCTAAAAATTCCTTTTTATGTCTTCAAACATTTACTAGGCAAAAATCACTAACATAAAATAAATATGCAAATGGGAAGGGAAAACAATTATGCAATAAAGTTATGTTAAAATTGTAGAAAGAAGTTATCCATTTTATCTTAAAATCTGAATATATTTTTAAAAATGACTGTACCCCTATTGCTGAGAGTTTACAAGGAAACAACAGTCATTTGTCCAGAGATTGCTACAGAGAAAATCAGGGGCACAGAGAGGAGAATGAAACAGGAAGCCTCTCCAGTTCCTTTTAGTTTTTCTTAGAACTGGAATCTGATTTGCTGTATTACCTTACTTAGCCCAAAGAGGAAATCTGGTTTAGATTTTTGTCAAAGGGATTACTGCTCCCTTGGACCTGAATATTACAGAATGTTAAGGGTGGGGCTTCCCTGAGTCTGCTCTGGAACATTCAGTGTTCACTGTAATAAACCCAAGAGTGTGAGATACAGAGTATTACGAGTTGTGTCTGTCAGGCAGGCAGGGCTGACCTTAGACTCAGGAGTGACAGCATCTGAACCTCTGAGAAGAGCTGACACAAGGCACCCACAGAATTCAACCTTCAGAGGCCAGAGACAGTGCTCACATCATGAGGGAAGATTTCAAGTGAGGGAAAGAAACCATCCCTTTCCAAGTCAAACTCTTTTCTTAGAAGCAGAAGACGTCAATGAAGGCTCCTTCACTTTTTCTTGAATTTGGAGTCAAGAGCTGAAGATCAATTTCATTTTCTAACTTAATTTGGAAGGCGTCCTACAGAAAAACTTTCAGTTTTCAATTTACAAGTAGGTTATTATTGATGAAATTAAAACTGACCAACATTCTTAGGTTTTAGAAGTTTATCTCAAATCCCCCCAAATTCTAAAGCAGATGCTTTGGTCATTAGATCAGGGAAAAACAAGAGCCCTTCTGTATTTCCAATACCCAGATGTTTCCTGTCTTACAAATGTATAAACACTACAACTAAAGATCATCCATCTGGTCTAACAGATGACTAGTGCCTCTTCCAATCCTGTACTGCACTGTGGGTTTGATAATAACCGCAGAATATTGGAGGCAGGTAGGCGACCTTCCCAGGTAGGGGAGAAGAGGTGGATTACACTGCTAATGGGGATGGCAATGATGGGTTTTAGCATCATAATAGAGAGCATCCCTGAGGACAGACCCACAATGGAAACAGCATTGCCCATTAAGATAATGTTGCCCAAGAGGCAAGACTCATTTAAAGTGTGTGTGTGTGTGTGTGTGTGTGTGTGTGTGTGTGTGTGTGTGTGTGTAGAATCTAATACTGGGAATTGCTCTCTGTTTTAGTAAATTACATCTAGCATTAAACCTAATCTACATTTATAGATTAGTAACAATATTTATGTAATATTGATAACACAATATCCCTATGCATCTAGTATATAAAGCTTGATTTATGAGAGTGTTCGTGAAAAGAAGGAATGAGCTAATTTGCCTAAATTTATTACATACAAGTGTTCTCAGTGTTTTAACTTGCATATGCATGATAGTAACTTAGTGCAGGGTGACTAAAACAGTTGGCATCTACTACATACTCTAAGAAGAAAGGCACCCGTCAACTAATGAGCACTCTCCACTATAGAAAGGGAGGCTATGAAAAGAGGGGCTTTACACAGAGACAGCTCGGGTCCTTTCTGTGTTACCCAAGACCGCAAAAACCATTCCTATATGTAACTTCTGGTCAATACTAATAGTTATTTTTAAATTTACTACTGAATTTTGTGAACATTTTCTGGAATCTCTGGAAAAGAAGCAAAAAAGTTACACATAGCCACTCTGCAAGTTGATTGCATTCAAAGATGGTTTGTTTCATAAACAGAGTATTAGTCAGGGTTCTCTAGAGGGACAGAACTGATAGGATACACACACACACACACACACACACACACACACACACATATATATATCTCCTATCATATTATATATATAATATCCTATTATATGTATATATTCTATTATATATATGTGTATACGCACACACACACACACATATATATATCTCCTATCATATTATATATATAATATCCTATTATATGTATATATTCTATTATATATATGTGTATACACACACACACACACACACACACACACATATATGGGAGTTTATTGAGCAGTATTAACTCCCATGATCACAAGGTCCCACAATAGGCCATCTGCAAGCTGAGGAGCAGGAAAGCCAGTCCGAGCCCCAAAGCTGAAGAACTTGGAGCCCGATGTTCAAGGGTAAGAAGCATCCAGCATGGGACAGAGATGTAAGCTAGGAGGCTAAGTCAGTCTAGTCTTTTTACATTTTTCTGCCTGCTTTACATCCTGGCCATGCTGGCAGCTGATTAGATGGTACCCACCCAGATCAAGGGTGGGTCTGCCTTTCCCAGGCCACTGACTCAAATGTTAGCCTCCTTTGGCAACACCCTCACAGACACACCCAGGATCAATATTTTGCACCCTTCAATCCAATCAAGTTGACACTCAATATTAACCGTCACAACCAGGCATATCATTCCCTAACATTTCTTTTAAGAAAAGAAAAACAACAGCAACAACAAAAAACAACGTATATTTGTTGACGAAAATAATCAAACTGTAAAATATTGGAAGAAATTTATTCTGAGCCAAATATCAGTGACTAATGGCCTGTGACACAGCCCTCAGGAGATCCTTAGAACATGTGCCCAAGGTTGTTGGGCTACAACTTGAACTTGGTTTTATACATCTTAGGGAGACATAAGTCATCAGTCAATACATGTAAGATGTATTTTGGTTCCATCTGGAAAGGTGGGACAACTGGAAGTGAAGTCTTCCAGGTCATAGGCAGATTCAAAGATTTTCTGATTGGCAATTGGTTGAAAGAGTTATTGCCTAAACTGGAATCAATATAAAGGAATGTGTGGGTTCAGACAAGGGGCTGTGGAGACCAAGATTTTATCAAGCAGATGAAGCCTCCAGGTAGCAGGCTTCTGAGATAATAGATTGTAAATGTCTCTTATCAGACTTAAAGGATCTGTTCTCTTAGTCTTAAGGTCTGTGTTGATGTTAACACTGGTCAGCTGGACCTGCATTTGAAAAGGAGGATGGTATAATGAAGCAAATTCAATGCCCCCTTTCCATCAGGGCCTGGACTAGTTTTTAGGTTAACTTTGGAATTCCCTTGGCTGAGAGGAGGTCCACTCTGACGGTTGAGGGGCTTAGAATTTTATTTTTGTTTTACAAACTGATTTAGTTAATATACCCTATCTCATTATCATCTCCTTGAATCCTCAAATATTGAGAAAAGTGCTGTCAGACTTTTTTATACTTGTGAGCAATATAAGGGAGATGAAGTGTTGCCTTCATCTGCACAGCTGCTCACTGTGGATCTGGATCTAAAAGGGGGTCCTGTGGTCCTGAGCTCTGTCTATGATGGCAGGGGCCTCCCTGAGTTAATCCCCAGGCTGACATTCCTTGAAACAGCACATTTTGGTATGCTAAATAAAGCAATGCAGGGTACCCTTAACATCTGATGAAGAAATCTAAAATGTGAAAGTGGATCATATCTGTCAGTGACAAAGACAAATGAAACACTTTGTTATAAAAGTTTAATGGAGTAAAAATGAAAAACGTACACTCATTATTGCATAGATCAATGGGCTTGTTGGAAAATTGGGTTTGCTTCCTGAGAGCCTCTGCACTCCAACTGGGACCACAGCAAGTTGAGAGAATGAATTACAGGGAAGGATGGCCTGGGGAAGGCACATCCGCTCCACCCCTTCCTGCAGGCTCCTACTGTCAGAAACACTTACACATTGCTGTTAAAACAAGTAATTCAAAGTTACTGAAGTCCGGCAACCTGTACACTGCCTAAAATTTTCAGCAGCTTCCAGGTTGATGGAGCCGCACCTCAGTATCACGTCATCCATACCCTTCGTATATGTTCCTTGGACCCCAGCCTCATGGCACAGCCAGGGTCTTCATTCTGTAGCCTGGGCCCACCTGCCACCAGGCATGTATGTGTCCCTGCCGATGTCTGGGGCTCAAACTGATACTCTCCCATGACAGGGGCTAAATTCCTCTCTTTGGGAGAGGATTGGCACTGTTAAGAGAGCAGCATTTGGAATCTATCAGACCCGGTTTTAAATACCAGTGCCATCAGTTACAAGCTGAACACATTGCTTAGTCTTCCTGCCTTAGCCCCTTGTAAATTGTGGATATCCATACTCACTGAAAAGACGTGTTGTGGTTAAGCACTATAGTGAAGGAAAAGCACTTAGAAATCATTTATTATTAGATATTATCTAATAATGAAGTATTAGATAGTATCTTTATCATTATCAATGACATTATTGATAATATCAATTAATATATCAATTCAATGATATTATTCATTAAGTATTAGATAGTATCTTTATTACTATTATTTTAGACCCAGCTCAAGCCTTCCTTTTTCTGGAAACATTCTCCCAAGGTTTCATTTCTCCTCACACAGCACCTTAACCCACCTCTTTTCAATAACCTCTCATATTAACTCATTCAACGACACACGTGCTATCACCCTCCACTGCACAGAGACATCATGAATGCACAGATGTACTTTTGCCAGAATGTTGCATAGAGCTTGACACATATTACATACTCAATGCTTGTTGAGTTAGTAAATAAACACACAGGATTCAGAAAAATAAGCATAGATGTACATGTCCACATGAGTAGAAAATGTCACAATTTTCTAACATTTTAAAGTCTTTTAGGTATATTTTTAAAACTCCATACCTTCTCCTCAGATGTTTTCTCATTGCACTACATTGTTAGGGTAAAGGCTCAGCAAAAAATCACATTCCCAGGAATTGGAGTAAATGTTTTGATTGCTCAATTTTCTGCCCTTTTTTCTTTCTTTCTTTCTTTCTTTTTTTTTTTTTTTTTGGAGTTAGTTGCATTAACTTCTTCTTTTCTTACTAGCTTGCAGTTCACAGAGGACAACTCCGGGAAGTTTTTACACAACTCTGTGTCTCCCATAGCATCTGGTACACGGCAATTCTCAGTTAAACATTTGGTGAAGGACTTACTAACTGACTGAAAAATGATAAATGTTTGAAGAGTTAAATATGTTAGAAAAATGGAGTACTTGTCTCTAATTAGGTGAGTAGCTGATAGGAAAGCAGTAGCAGCATGCTTTTGACTCACTTATCTTTTACAAAAATCTTTTGAAAGTTGTACAAAAAGTAAAAGAGTATAACTTTTTTGCCTACAAAATCTACAACAAACTACAATGCTCTTTTCTTATAAAAAAATATGCATTGTGAGACTGTGGGAATGGCCTCTTCAGTCTCCCCAGGATCTCCAGTGCATAGGTCAAATGCTGGAGAACTATTTTCTGATTCTCATCATGCTTTCTTGTTAGGCACCAAGAGGAATCTTTATAGACAAAGTGTTTAGTTTTTGTTCTTTGAGAACAACATGTCTGCAGCAACTATTCTTAGAACCCTCCGTAGGAGGCAGAGATCCACCTCTGTGGAGAGTGATTCACCACTGCTTCACTAATTATGCATCATCCCTACCACAGATGATGAGGCTGAATATCAAAAAACCAAATCCAAGGAAACTGGAGGCTAATTGGGCTGAAAACATTCCTTTGCTAAAGCCCGCAGGCAGGAGACGCAGTCAATTAAGCTCTAACAGGCAAACCCAGGCAACTGCGGCTCCCCTTGCCTTCCCAACACTGCCAGGCTCCACATGCCAGCTGTGACACCAGACAAGGCAACCGTGCCCCCTTCCTTCCCTCGGCCATTTTCTGCTAAGTTCTGCTGCTCTTTCGTTGTGCTTTCCTCTTCCAAAATATTATTTCATAGCATTTTTTGCAACAAGCACTATTTGTGGGCCCCACGATAACTCCCGGGGTAAATAAGAAAGAGAATTTATCCTGCAGATTTGTCTTCTGCAGGGAAGAGACAAACGTTGAAACACACAATTAGAAAGAGTTTCCAGCAGAGGATAAGAAACGAGAGAGGCACAGAACAGTCCAAGCCTTAACCTCCAGACTCGAACCCAGGGGTTAAGGTAAGGGCCTCCTTCCCTTTCCAGGGTCTTACATAGGATCCACATCAAGGGGAAACTTCAGGCAGAGCATCCTTTTCTGCTCCTCTCATGTAAGCTTCTGTTTACATCCACATAAAGACTTGCTTTTCAAACTCACTCTGCTGGAAGCACAGACAGGAGCCAAGGTGTGAGGAAGCCAGAGGACAGGTAAGGTGCCCAGAACATTCACTTAACCTGATGGAAACTCCAAACAGCATTGTAGAGAGACAAACATATATATTCACTCAACACTATGTTCCAGGCCCTGTTCTAAGCACTGGGGATACAGAACTGGGCTAAGTCAGCAAAGACCCTGCTTATATGAAATGTCATTCACAGGGGGAGAGCAGTGGAGGAGAATGGACCACAAACAAGTAAGAAAATGTATAGGACTCCAGACAGCGTGTGCCATATAACACAATGGAGCAGGATGGAGTCTTAGGCAGCGTCCAGGGAACTTTTGCTATATTCTACAGCTTGATCAGAGAAGGTCTCTCTCATAAATTGCTATTTAATTATAGCTGGGAAGGGAGAGAGCAAACCATGCCAGGAACTGCAGGAAGAATGTTCCAAGTAGAGGGCACAGCAAGCGCCAAGGCTCTGAGCTGGAGCCTGCCTGGAGTATTCGGGCAGCATTAAGAAGTGCAGTGTGACTGGTTGCTCAGAATAGACTGTAGGTGAAAAGAGAGGAAGAAGGAAAGTTTGAAAAATAGGACACTTTGGCAATAAGATGACAGTAGTTCAGATAATGATGGCATCAGTAGAAGTTGTGAAAAATATCTGGACTCTTGAATATTTTTGAAAGCCAAACTGAAGAGCTTTTCTTGTTGAAATTGAGTCTGTTGACCAACCATCTGATTGACCTACAACTGAAGAGTTTCCTGGGACATAGGAGTTTCAGTGTGACACTGAGGAAGTCCTGGGCAAACTAGAAGGAGCTGGTCATCCTAGGTGTGGGAAAATGGAGGCATCAAAGGTCACTCTAAGGATTTGGCCTTGGCCAATGTGAAGATAGACTTGCCAATTAACAGAAATGGAGATGTCCAGGGGCTTGCAGGGAGGGCAAAAGAACAGAAGCAGAATCAGGAATTGATATATGATATGATTTGGCTGTGTCCCCACCAAAATCTTATCTTGAACTGTAATCACCATAATCCCCATGTGTCAAGGGAGAGACCAGCTGGAAGTAATTGAATCATGAGGGTGGCTTCCCCCATGCTGTTCTCATGATAGTGAGTGAGTTCTCACTGGATCTCATGGTTTTATAAGTGTTTGGTAGTTCCTTCTGCGTTCATCCTCCTTCCTGCCACCTTGTGAAGAGGTGCCTTGCTTCCCCTTCAACCAAGATTGTATGTTTCCTGAGGCCTCCTCAGCCATGCTGAACTCTGAGTCAATTAAACCTTATTCCTTTATTATTAACCCAGGCTCGGGCCGTTCTTTATAGCAGTGTGAAAATAAAATGATACAACATATTTAGTTTAAGATGCTTATTAAAGCTTCAAGTGGATATGTTGGGTTCAGAATGAGATACAAGAGTCTGAATTTCAGAAAAGAACTTCAGGTAAGAGAAATGAGTCTGAGTGTCATCAGAATGTAAATACCTAGTATTTATTGTCTCAAAGCCATTGGGCTGAATGACATCACTGAAGGAGTAAGTACAGATCCAAGAGAGATCAGAAGCTGGAGATATGGGGCCCTCCAACACTGAGAGGTTGAAGGTAGAGTCAGGGGCAAGAAGAGAATCCAGAGAATAGTGCCCCGGAACCTAGGTGGAGTAAGGCCTTTTACCTACAAGGCATGTCTTCCCCTTCATGATGACATTCTTTGCGGCACAAACCTCCAAAATCCTTCCTGGGCTTTCCTGAAGTGACAAGGTAGAGCAAATTAGATACTCGTGTTTCTAACCCGCCTTTTCTTGGACTGAAGGTACCACGTAAGATGGGGACTGGGAACAGAACCCTCAGCTATATCGCTGTGGCAATCGGGAGAAACAATGTACAGCTGATTGGATATCTGGAGAAAATCAGAGGAAATCCCATTATAAGGGCAGGTGTTGTGCTGGAAAAGCAGCCATGAGTTAGAAGTGGCCATCTCCCTGGAAGGATGGCAGGTGATTTGGGCTCTGTAGCTAACTATGCCAGGGATGGGTAGGACACTGTGGATCCACCAGAGTAGGAGGGAATGTAAGCTGGAGTTTGCGAAGAGGATGAAGCTGGATATCTTCCTCTGCCCTAGACGTAGGGTGAGAAGTGTGGAGAGAAAGCAGACACTGGGGCGGCTGCAGGAGAAGTCCTGTCCTCGAGGAGGAATCATGCTGCAGACTGCGAAATGCACACGCAATTTCAAGATAAATATAGGAGCCATCAGATAAATCGTCATTTAAAAATAGGGAATTTGGTAGATTCCCTCCAGGCTGGCAACAGCTTGTGTTCATTCTCCCTTGCTCTTAGGGTATTTTTTATTTTGAGTGCCCACTAAGTCCTTGATAGTCATTATTAGATTTTCAGAAAAGCAATATGCACTAAGAATCATTCTAACTTCAGCGATAAGGAGACCGAGACACAGCACTTCTGTTTTCTAAGATTCTGTCTTAGCCCATGGCAGAGGCAAAATTAGAATGCATGGTGGGCTGACCGCACAGCCCATGCTCTTCTTCCCACGCCGCCTTGTGGGTCTGAAAGGTCTCGCACACCAACTCACAGCACAGCCCTAGACGGAGCTCTAAGGGGCGGCTGCTCACTAGCTTTGCCCACACTGAACGTCAACAAACATCTTGAGTCAGATGGTGCCCATCAGGTCCAACATTAGTAGACAGCATGGCATAGTTCATTGCTGTCTATCCAGACTGTAGGAAGAAGACAAAATGATTCATTAAGGGTGACTGCATAAGAAGAGTATGGCCTTTATTGTACATATTTATGAACCGCCTACAAAGGCCTCGCAGTGGGTACTGTATTAGTCAGCGTTCTCTAGAGGAACAGAACTAATAGGATAGATGTATATATAAAGGGGAGTTTATTAAGGAGTATTGACTCACACGATCACAAGGTGAGGTCCCACAGTAGGTCATCCGCAAGCTGAGGAGCAAGGAAGCCAGTCCGAGTCCCAAAGCTAAAGACTTGGGGTCCTATGTTCAGGGGCAGGAAGTATCGCATGGGAGAAAGATGGAGGCCAGAACACTAAGCCAGTCTAGTCTTTCCACGTTCTTCTGCCTGTTTTTATTCTGGCCTTGCTGGAAGCTGATTAGATGGTGCCCACCCAGATAGAGAGTGAGTCTGCCTCTCCCAGTCCACTGACTCAAATGATATTCTCCCTTGGCAACACCCTCACAGACACACCCAGGAACAATACTTTGCATCCTTCAATCCAATCAAGTTGACACTCAGTATTAATCATCACAGGTACTCACTCCCTTCCCCAGCTCCTTATCAGAGCAGAACAGTGATTGTGGTGATTGAACACCTCTCCACGGCAAGGAGAGCAGAGCAGCTGAAGTGTGGCTGCATCCGGCAACATGAGCCCTGATGTAGGTAGCAGGAGCATCTCAGCCACTGCTCCCTTTGAAAACTGCAGACTTTGGATTTCTCCTTCCAAGAAGTTGTGTTCAAATAAATGGAAACAAGAAGGGGACACACAATCACCTAGCTTATAACTCAGCAGCGATTCCGCAACAGACACAGTGGGTGCCCCGGCCCTGGAAGGACTCTCAAGACAGCTGGGGCTCATTTCAAACCTTCTACATACAAGGCATGTCTTCCCCTTCATAATATCATTCTTTGTGGCACAAACCTCCAAAATCCTTCCTGGGCTTTCCTGAAGAGACAAGGTGGAGCAAAATTAGATACATGTGTGTCCGACCCTGTTATCTTTATAATGTTACTGTAAGGAAGTAGGGGTCTTGTTGCCAGGAGAAATGGGAGAGGAGTTTACGCAGCACGGGAGGGAGAGCTGCACTTTTACTTGGGGGCAGCTTCTTTACTTTCGTGCTTAAAAGGAAACAAAGCATTCCACTGTGGTGTCCATTTTCCCTCTCTCAAAGACAGTTAACCTCTACTGTGCTCCTGAATTTAACAATTTAAATCCATTTACTTCTCCCGGATAACCTTGATCCTTCTCCCCCTTTTTAGTCATAATTCACCCCCATCAACACTTCTCACTCCACTAGAAACACAATTCATGTTGATCACTGAGTCGTGTACTGGATTATGTTCCTGCTCCTTTCTGAGGGCCTACTTTTTGTACCTCTGTGATCTCAGATCCAGTGATGTTTCACACTTTAAGTGTTGAGTTATCAGTAGAGGATTTATTTTATGGAAGGTCGACTTCCCCTCGAAACGTATGGCAAATTCTGGTCATCTGTTGTGTTTGTTTCATAGGGATGCCGCACAAATCGCCATAATTTTCGTGTCATAAAACAAGACTAATTGATTTTCTCAGTATTCTGGAGACCAAAGGTCAAAAACCAAGGTATGGACAGGATCACACTCCCTCCAAAGTCTCCAGGGGAGGATTCTACCTACCCTTCACAGTTTCTGGTGTTGCTGGCAAGCCTTGGCATTGGGGCTTGTGGCTGCATCACTCCCATCACTGCTTCCATCCTCACATGGCCTGATCCCCTGTGCCTGTCTCTGCGTCTCATTTTCTGCCTCTTATTAGTCACCTGTCAGCGGATTTAGGGCCCACCCTTAATCTAGGATGATCCTATCTCAAGATCCTTGCCTTAATCTGCAAAAATATCTACAAAGACCCTTATTCCAAAAAAGGCCACATTCTGAGGTTCCAGGTGGAGGTATCTTTGGGGGGACGACTCTTCAACCTGCTGCCCCAGTGTTAGTGGTTGACAGATGCCTACGCAACGCTGCAGCTTCTTGTATGCTGAGCAGTCTCCTCTGAGCTTGATTCTCAGCTGTGTTCTTTGTTCTCCTTGTCATGTCACACAGGTGCTTTGACTTTTGAAAGAAACTTTTTTTTTGAGATAGAGTCTCACTCTGTCACCTTGCTGGAGTGTGGTGGTGCAATCTCTGCTCACTGCAACCTCTACCTCCTGGGTTCAAGCGATCCTCCTGCCTCAGCCTCCCAGATAGCTGGGACTACAGTCACCCACCACCATGCCTGGCTAATTTTTGTATTTTTAGTAGAGATGGGGTTTCACCATGTTGGCCAGAATGGTCTCAATCTCTTGACCTCATGATCCGCTCGCCTTCGCCTCCCAAAGTGCTAGGATTACAGGCATGAGTCACTGCGCCCAGGCTCTGGAAGAAACTTTCAAGCCTCTTTTGGGAGAAAAAAAATCAAATACTTCTTGTGTTATTGTTTGGCTGTGTCCTCACCCAAATCTCACCTTGAATTATAGTTCCCAAAATTCCCATGTGTTATGGGAGGGACCCAGTAAGAGATAATTGAATCATGGGAGTAATTTCTCCCATACTGTTCTGGTAGTGAATAAGTCTCACGAGATCTGATGATTTTATGAGGGATTTCCCTTCACTTGGCTCTCATTCTCTCTTGCCTTTCACCTTCAGCTATGATTGTAAAGCCATGTTCTCACAATCTCACAGTTCCCAGCCATGTGGAACTGTGAGTCCATTAAACCTCTGTCTTTATAAATTATCCAGTCATGGGCATATCTTTATCAGCAGAATGAAAGTGGACTGATAACACTTTGCTTCAAAATCAAGCTGGAAATAGCAAGACCATAAATTCATGTATGCGCATGCATGTATGCATGTGTGTGTATGCCCCTGTGCAAGCCTATATGCATATGCATGTATGTGTGTATGTATGCCTCTGTGTGTGTGCATATGCTTATACATACATATGTATGTATAAATAATAGGTAGATACATATTATGGTTATTTCTGTGCAAAACCATTAAACATTCACCAGGAAGCAGAAGTTAGGGAGCTACCTCAGGGTGTTGCTGTTAACCATTTCGTTTTTGAGGTATCATGGACTGCACACTTCAAACGTCAAGTGCATGGAACCCAGATTAATGGTGATAATGGTGGGGGAAGCTTTTAAAATTCAGGAACTTAGAGGGGTTTCAGTCATCCGCGCTACTTGAGATGTCCAGGCACACATTAACATCACCTTTCTTTCTCGCACCTGCTCCTTCCTTATGCTGCTCATAATTCTAAGTGAGATCATGAGAATCTCGTCAAATTTGATCTCTTGCCGTAAGAACCCAGCTACCTGAATGAAAGCTGAACAAAGAGAGCTAGTACGGAGGCTGTAGGAGTGCGCATACCTTCTTGATTTTTTTTAAAGTAAGTGTTAATTTGTACATTTGCACAAGAAAGTTGGTCACCTAAAATGTGGGTTAGTTGATGAAAACACTTTTTGCCATCAGCTATAGATTTAGTTCTGACACCTTCCATGCACAGTTTCACTCGAAACCATATGGGTAACCTTAAGTGAATCACATCCATGAATCTCAGGCTTTTTAAAAAAAAGTCTGAAAATTCACTTACTCAACAAATGTGTGTTGAAAACTCCCTGTGTGGCAGGCACTGTTCTAAGTGTTTGGGATACAACAGGGGATGAGACAAAGACCCTGCCTTGAATGAGACTCACTATTGGGTAAGAGGACCCAGAAAATAAACAATAACCACAATAAATACATGCATTCCATACATGACAGAATTATAGATGTGTTTTAGGAGAAAAATGGAATAAACGTTATCAGGATTGCCAGGCTGGGAGGCATATGTAATTAAACAAAGAGCCTAGAGTGGAAGACTCTATGTGGACGGCTGTGGCAGCCCATTCAACAGGACCGTGGGGGTGATGCACTGTAAATGGCAAAGCCATGTCTCTGCCCGTCTTATTCAGGTGATGGGGTGTGGCTGACGGCGCACCTTGTGGTTGCTAGTTTCTTTCCGAATGACTGTGGCTCCATTGTCACGTGTTCCAATGGTTCCACTCACTCACCCATTAATTAGCAATCATTTATTCAGTGCCTACTCTATGCCAAGCCTTTTGCTTGGCACTGGGAATACAGACAAATAAGATACTCTTTCCTAAAGGAAGAGACAGATAAACCTATGGCTACAAAGCAGCATGATGAGGTCACAGAGAATGCTTGTGCGCCAAGGCATTCTGAACTCAAGGTACCCAGCCCAGACTAGGGAATCTGTGAAATGCTTCCCCCGGGTGAGGCATGGGCTGAGCTACAGGGCACTTGGTGGAGCCCGCCAGAAGACAAGAGCAAGTGTGAAGGGACAGACAGGAGGGACTGCCCAGGCTAAGGGAGTGAAATAGGCAAACACAGAGAGACAAGAGGGTTTTAGATGGTTCTGGGAACTGGAATTCATTTGGAATGAACAGAACATAGAATGTAATCAGGGAACTGAGTAAAGATGGAACTATAGAGGTGAAGCGAGTAGCTAGGTCTTGCAAAGTCCCTGAAGGATTTTACACAGGGGAATGATGTGGCTGGTGTCTTCTAGAAGCCACACTTTGGAGGTAGCAAGTCAAGAATGGATTGGAGGGAGGGAGACTGGAAGTGGGAAGGCCAGCTACCAAGTTAGATTTTTTCAAGCAGTATCCACTGACTAAGATCATTATGATGTTGGCGAGGGGTTAGAAATCGTGGATGCTGCATTATTCCGGGGTTGGAGATTCACGAGAGGTGGTTGTGATGGTTGAGGACAAAGGCAAGACAGTGGTTGAGGTAAAGGATTGCAAGTCTCTAGGCCAGATATGAAAGGAAGTTTATATGGACAGAAAAATGGGTAGGTGGTGTGGGGAGTTATGGACCCTTATGCCTTTGGCATAGGGATCTGGAAGACAACAGCAAAACTAGAAGTCTATACTGCAGGCAATGGGAAAATGAACTATTATGTTTTTGTAGAAAGATTTTCAGGCAGTGCTGGAGACATCTATATTAGTTTGCTATGGCTGCCATAACAAAATACCACAGGCTAGGTAGCTTAAACACCAGAAATCAATTTTTTTACAGTTCTGAAAACCAGAAGTTCAATGTTAATGTGCCAGCAGGTCTGGATTTTCCAAACGCCCTTCTCCTTGGCTTGCCGGAGGCTCTTTCTCACTGTGTCTCTTATGGCTTTTCCTCTGTGTATGCAATGCCTTGGTGTATCTTTCTCCTCTTATAAGGATACCAGTCTTATTGGATTAGGGTGCAGCCCTTATGATCTCACTTAAGTATCTCTTTAAAGGCCTTATCTCTAAATACAGTCACATTAGGAATTATGGCTTCAATGTATGAAATTTAGGGTGACCCAACTCAGTCCATAGCACTCTGCCCTCTGAACCCCCAAATGTATGACTTTCTCATATGCAAATACAAACACCTCCAGCCCAACAGCCCCCCAAAAGTCTTAACCCATTTTAGTATCAACTCTAACCCCAAAGTCTCATCTAAATATCACCTAAATCAGGTATGGGTGGGCAATAAGGTGTGATTCACCCTGAGGCAAAGTTCCTTTCCCGCTGGTAACATATGAAACCAGCTATGTTATGTGTTCCAAATACAGTGGTGGCACAGGCATAGGATAGACATTCTCACCACAAAAAAGAAAAATTGGAAAAAAGAAATGGGTGACATGTCCCAAACAAGTTCAAAACCTAGCAAGGCAAGCTCATTAGATTTTAAGGTTCAAGAATAATCCTCTTTGGCTTGATGCTCTGCCCCATGGGCCCCTCATGGTGGAAGTTCCACCTTCTGGGACTGCAGTGGCAGCAGCATCCCCAACAGGTTTGGGTGACAGCCCCATCTGTGGTGCTGAGGAGTAGCGTTATCCTGAGGCCCCGAGTGGTTGCAGCCTGGCCTACTGACCCTGAGGAGGTGGAAGACAGGCTTGTCCCCCAGACCTGTGTGTTCTGGGCCTGTGGTGGGAGAAACATCCCTGAGAATCTCAGAATCACTTTTAGGGCCGTGTTTCCCTCTTCTTGAAGAATAATACATGTTGTATTAGTCTGTTCTCATGCTGCTAATAAAGACATACCTGAGACTGGGTGATTTATAAAGGAAAGAGGTTTAATGGACTCACAGTTTCACGTGGCTGGGGAGGCCTCACAATGACAGTGGAAGGCGAATGAGGAAAAAGACACATCTTGGCAGCAGGCAAGAGAAAACACGTGCAGGGGAACTGCCCTGTAAGAAACTATCAGATCTCGTGAGATTTATTCACTATCATGAGAATAGCAAGGAACAAACCCACCCTCCTGATTCAATTACCTCCCACCAGGTTCCTTTCACAACACGTGGGGATTATTACAATTCAAGGTGAGATTTGGGTGGGGACACAGCACCAAACCATATCACATGTCCACAGCCAGATAGCTCCATTTTGCCATCCTGCAGAATGCTGGAACTCAGGCAGCCTTCCTTCATTTTACCCCACCTCTGCCTCCTTCAGTGCAAACTGGCTGTATTTCTGCTGCTATTACCCCATCTCTATCCCTGGCTTCCACTAAGATGACTGCATGGCTTCTTGAATTACACCTATAATCTTTTTATCAAGCAATTTTCCAACCACATTTTTGGTGTACTGTCTAGAACATGCTTTCTCATTTTTTGCAATATGGATATGCTGAGGATTTCTCAAATTTTCAAGTTCTGGTTCCTTTTTGCTTAACAATTCTCCTTCTTCACTTTCTCTCCTCTAGCATTTTACTATAAGCAGTAAGGAAAATCCAGGCCATAACTCAACACTTTGCTTAGAAATCTCAGCTAAATATCCAAATTCAGCACAAACAAGTTCTACTTTCTACAGAACACCAGAATACAATTCAGACAAGTTCTTTGCCAATTTATAACAAGGATTATCTTTATTCTAGTTTCCAATAATATGTTCCTCATTTCTATCTGAGACTGCACCAGAATAACCTTTAACATCCATATTTCTACTAACAGTCTTTACAAGGCAATCCAGTCTTTTTAAACATGCTCCTCAAAACTCACCTATGCTCTACCATTACACGATCCAAAGCCACTTTCATATTTTTCAGTATTGGTTACAGTAGCACCAGTGGTACCAAAATCTGTATTATTTAGTTTGCTAGAGTTGCCATAAAAAAAAATACCAAAGGCTACCTGGCTACATTAGTTAAGCAACTGAGATTTATTTTCTTATAGTTCTCGAGACCAGAAGTCCAAGATCAGGGTGTCAGCAGCTATGACTTCTCCTAAGGCCTCTCCTTGGCTTGCAGACGGCCACCTTCTCACTGTGTTCTCATATGGCTCTTCCTTAGTGTGGATGCACTCCTGGTGTCCCTTCCTCTTTTTGCTTTTTTGTTTTGTTTTGTTTTTCAGACGGAGTCTCACTCTGTTGCCCAGGCTGGAGTGCAGTGGTGTGATCTTGGCTCACTGCAAACTCTGCCTCCTGAGTTCACACCATTCTCCTGCCTCAGCCTCCCGAGTAGCTGGGACTACAGGTGCCTGCCATCATGCCTGGCTAATTTTTTGTATTTTATTAGAGATGGGGTTTCACCGTGTTAGCCAATATGGTCTTGATCGCCTGACCTTGTGATCTGCCCACCTTGGCCTCCCAAAGTGCTGGGATTACAGGCGTGACCCACTGCGCTCAGCCGTCCCTTCCTCTTTTTAAAAGGACTTTAGTTCTGTTGGATAAGTCCCCATCTTTGTGACCTCATTTAACTCTAAATACCTCTTTCAAGGCTCTATCTCTAAGTACAGTCACACTGAAGGTTAGTAGTTCAACATATGAATTTTGGGAGAACACAGTTCAGTCCATAACAATATCACTGACTACACAACACCAGAATGAAAAGCATATATAAAATTCTGTTTTTAGATAGCTGATGAGCAAAGGTTCAGAGAACACCTCCTGGTATATTATGCATTCACATACATGAATGAGATGTATGCAAGTAGGAACTTCTTCAGGTCCAAGACATTTAATCAAAAGTGAAATCATAAAGGTAAAAGAATGTAGGAGCCAGAATTTGTCCTACAGGTTCTTCCCCCTCCTGGTGGCTTACAGTATGAGTTTTTAACATGTCCCCCAAAACAAGGATAAGGAATAAAAGTTGAGATTTGAAAAGGAAATAAAGTCAAGTTAGAAATACATACTTAATGCAAAGACTTCCAAAAGAAGGAATTTATTGGCTAAATTAGGAAAATCTGTTATGCAAGACAGAAGGGGGGCAAATGAGCCTGTCACATCTTGACTGTGGACAGATGGGGAAAGGGGATTCTCCTCTGAGGGTTGCTAACCACATGCCATCCTCATGAGGGTACAGGGACTGCATTCACATGTCCTGAGGGCGTCACAAAATCCCAAGTAAGTTTAAAGTTCTTTTACGTGAAGATATTCTAAGGGATCTTATGGATCAAATACAAATCTCTCTGGAAATGTACTCTTTAAGCCTAGACATCTAAGAACTCATACGGTTAAAGTTCCAAGGAACTCAAAGTCACATTCAAAAAGGACTAGCCTCATGAGGAAACAGATTGCCATGAGTGTGATTTACGTGAAATGAAAATTCACTTAATTATTCTAATCAGATATTGGAATTATCTGGTGCAGACAGAATATTTAGTATTTTAAAGAAATAAAAGTAGACATTAAAAGTAATGATAAGGGAACCAAAAAGACTATCTAAATAATAAGAGTCATTTGAAAAAGAGCCAAATACAAGTTCTAGAAATGAAAGATATAGTAGCTGAATTTAGAAAAAATTCTGGGCAGAAGTATGGCATAATATGTGTAAAAGTGACCAAATAATTTCCTCACCATGTCTATGTTCTCAGGTAGTCCCTTTTCACATTGACTCTGAGCATGGCCATCTGACACTCTTTGTCCAATAGAACAAGAGCCGACATGATTTAAGCAGAGACTAAAAAGCAGCTTACACATTAGGGTTGTTCTCTTCATGTTACTGGGAACCCTGCACCTACAATTGTGTCAATGAGCCCAGGCTAACCTGCTTGATGATGAGAAAGACACAGCTGAGTGATCCCCAATACTCCAGCTAATATCAAGCCAACCTCCAGACATCTGAGTGAGGTGTTCTTAGGCATGTGAGACCCAACAGAGCTGCTGGTTGACTACAGAAACCAAACAACTGATCTCAGACCAGGGGAACAATTCGCCCAATCCAGAAGATTATGATGAATGCTAAATGTTGTTTTAAGCCACTGTGTTTCCATAACAAGACACTAATGGATACAACAACCAACATATGAGACAAACAAATCAGACACAGTTGAAGAAAAGGTTAGTGATATAGAAAATCAGAAGAACGTATTCAGAACGCACCATAAAGAAACAACGAGATGAAAAACTGAGAGAATAATCCATGGAGGATAGAGTGAGGAAGTCCAACATATGTCTAATCAGAGTTCCAGAATGAGACAATAGAGAAGGTAGGGGCAAGAAAATATTTGGAGATGTAATGGCCAAAAATTTTCCAGAATTATTTAAGAACACTGATCCTTAATGAAGCTCCAATTTAGGAAGTCCAGTGAATTCTAAGGAGAAAAAAAACTGAATGACATCAGCACCTAAATCCATCATGGTTAAAGTGCAGAACACCTAAAGAAAAGGTCACAACAAATCCCAAATTGAGGAAAGGCTGCAAAATCACTGAGTTTTACTCTTCAAAAGTGCGAAGGTCATAAAAGACAAAGAAAGACCAAGAATACTTTCTAATTAAAGGAGACTAAAAGGCATAATTAAAAATTAAAAATAACTAGAACTGAATTCTAATAGCAATGCTAATTAAGACTTGTGGGATTTGGCTAAGAAGATACTTAAACACTGCTATCTTTAAATGTTTTACTAAGAGAGAAGACAGACTGTAACAAATGACCTAAGTATCCACCTTATCCTGCAGTTTTTTTAAAAAATTAATCCATAGAAGATAGAAAAAGGTGATCATGAATATGAGAACAGAACTTCATGTAATGGAAAAGAAGCATCAGCAGAATCAGCAGAATCCAAAACCTGGTTTCCAAAAAGACTACTAGAATTGACAAATCCTTGAAAATATTAATCAAAAATAAAACAGAGCCAGGAACAGTGGTTCACACCTGTAATCCCAGCACTTTAGCAAGCAGAGGCTGGAGGACTGCTTGAGCCCAGGAGTTTGAGATCAGCCTGGGCAACATAGCAAGACCCCATCTCTACAAAAACTAAAAAACTTAGCTGAGCATGGTGTTGCATGACTGTAGTCCCAGCTACTCTGGAAGCTGAGGCAAAAGAATTGCTTTAGCCTAGGAGTCTGAGGCTGAAGTGTGCTACGTTTGCACCACGGCACTCCAGGCAGGGTGACAGAGGGAGAATTTGTCTAAAAATAATAATAATAATAAAAGAATAAAACAGAATGCACAAAATAAGCCATACTGGGAATTTAAAAGAGGAGCATGTCTCTAGATGTAGCTAAGATTAAAACAGTTATAAGCAAACCTGCGAACACTTTAGGTTGGTATATTTGAAAATGTAAGGATAAGACTTCCAGGGAAAAATCAAATAACCAGAATTGATTTAAGAGGATAAAGAAAATATGATCTTTAAAGAAATTAAATAAGTTCCTAAAAATCTTCCCACAAACAAAAAACAAACAAGACTCGCAAAGGTTTTATGAGGAAATTCTAACAAACATTCAAGGAACAATTATTTCCAAACTTATGCAAAGCTCTTTTAGAAAGTAGGATATACATATTCACCTTCCCAACTCATTTTTAAAAGCCATTGTAACCCTGATTTTTTAAGTAAAAAACAGAACAAACGAAAAAAAACAGGGGAATGGCAATAAAGGGAATTATAGGTTATTTTCACTTGTAAGCGTATATACTTGAATTTTTTAAGGGACTGAATCTTGCTCTGTTACTGAGGTTGGAGTTCAGGGGAATGATCATACTAACTGCTGCCTTAAACTCCTGGGCTCAAGTGATTTTCCCCATCTCAGCCTCTCAAATGGCTGGGACTATAGGTATGTGCTACCATGCCTGGCTAAATTTAAAAAAAAAATTTTAGGGATAATGGTTTTGCTACATTGCCCAGGCTGGTCTCCAACTCCTGTCCGTAAGTGATCCCCCTGCTTCAGCCTCCAACAAACTGGGTTTACAGGCGTGAGCTACTGTGCCTGGAAGCATTAATCTTAAATAAAATAGTTAACCAAATTTTGGGAAGTATAATCTAACATACCCTGGCCATATTTGGTTTATTCCACAATGAAAGATTGGTTCATCATTAGAGAAACATGCTAATATAAATTTCCTCATTGCAAGAATAAAGGAGAAAAACCAGAGGAAGGGAGAGTTTCCTGGGAAGAATTAGGCATCTTAACCAAACGTAAAGGAACAAATCTTCCAAGTTGAAAGGTGACGGAGAAAGGAAGATAATGAGAGCTTGGTCAAGGGTGGGAAGGGCTGGGCACTGTGGGAATGAGGGTCTGGGAAGGGATGATTGTCCCAGTGTTTTGACTTTAGAGAATGACAAGAAAATAATGCATGAAAAATGGAATTGTCCTCAAGTTTCCCAAGAGAATTCAGACTGAGGACACATCCATCACAGTCAGGTACCTGACTCAGTGTTGCAGGAATGTTGACATCAACAACCGGTAGCCGGTCTGGTCTGTAGGCCCTGAGAAGATGCACAGACTTAAAAAATATTCCTTGAAATCAGCCTTTACTCCTGAGAGTAAATTCAAGATTATACTAGATATTCCCAACATCCAGGGAGTAGGCCTGTGTAGATCCAAGACATTTTTATTAATATGTGGCATCTCTTTTAGAAAAAATTCCTCAATTCTCCCTGTTGGTGATTACAGCCCTTGAGTGACACAGCCCCAGGCGTAGGGACTGCCTAACAAGAGACACCTGAAGTCACTCTCATACACATTTTTGATGGAGGAACACCAGATCTTTAAGGAAAAAGTAGCTACAGGAATGAGAGCCTTAATTCATGCCAGTTTACCTGGAATATGGGTGCTGAACACCCTGAATATCGTTAGGAATATTGCTTCAATTTTCACCATTAAATCTATGTGAAACAATTTTCTGAAATGACTGTGATAAATATGTTACTGGAAAAAGTTGAACATTCCAGCTCCATTTGTTATTACACTGTTGAATATAGGTTCCCAAATTCGAAACAAAATCACAAACTTGTATTTTTAAAGTTGCATATTATAAAGTGTCAGAAATTTTTAACGTAAAAATTTCCTCCATCAGAACTTAGAAAAGTAAGGAACTATCTTTCTTCTTTGATACCATAAGCTTTTAGTCTTTTGTGTTACAATAACCTTTATTTTATGAAATGGTGGTGATTGTGACAGATTTTATTTAATAACTTTCTTGACAAGGTAAATGATGGCCAGTTTGTGCTGTATTACATTTGTAATTTTATGGATGCCTGAAACAGAGAATCTGGGAGAAGTCTCTGCTTTTATCATAGCACGTATCACAACTGATCCTATTAATTTCAATATTTGTCTCCCCCTTGAGTTATGGTACCTCTTGAGGATGCAAATTGTGATTATTCCTACAAGATCTTAGCGGATGCTGGCACACCAGAAATGCAAAGTCAGGCACTTTCCACAGAACTGACATCACATGCATGTTCCCGGTGGGCCCACTGGAGGAATTCTGGCACATCTAGTAGAGAATGCTGGGCAGTTAGGAAAAGGGCACATTATAAGTAACTGTGATAAAGAGAGCCCTTTATTATATCTCTTGGATAATCACAACATTGATGGGGGCAGAGACAATCAATCAACAGTGCTTAAGACAATCTTTTGCCAAACTGTGAAAAACGTTCTTCCAGTCCCCTCTGAAAGCCTGACTCCCGGAAATGTAGAGGGCGTGCCTCCTGGGACCGTCTTCACATCCTTCCCATGGGAAAGGCAGGCACTCTCGGTTAGCGTCTGGGGTTGCATGAACCGACCACACTATGGAGGTAGTGAGCCGCCATCTTTGCAGCTGTTGCTCTTATCACAGAGAGACTTCTTTGTATAACCTTCCTTGTAGTGGGCTCCTGTGCTCCTGGGAGTCCTATAGGCAAAAATTCTTGAAAATGGGGATGAAATATCCTTGACACACTTCTTCTTGTAGGCAGTAGCCGGCCAGCAACTCCTTCTTTAGCTGTCTATTGATACCCTACTTTTCCTAAACCCAGAGGCGGACGCTGTGGGAGACATTTACCATGCAAAGTGACATTGATGTTTCATTTTCTGTGGTGAAGAGACCTTCTTTCCACTGGGGTCAATAAGAAACATACATTTACATAAAAGCTATGAAAATATACCTGCTTTGCTTATGTATATTTCACAGATCACACGAAGTGAGATCTTCTTTCTATAAACTTCTGCCTCTTTTCTCTGAGCAAAGAAAAGCAGCTTTCTTTTAATGACATCAGTTCTGGTACATTTTCGCCTACGCTTTGCTCACAGTCTTCAAGACTGCAGCTCCTGACGGGGGCTCCCAGATGGCTTCATCCACTCCCACGCTGCTTGTGGGATGGGATGGCCCTGAGCCAGATGGGTCTACAGTGTGTCTGGGAGTCATGTTCTTTACCTTCTGTCCAGATTGGTGGCATTCTCTCTTTTTTTTTAACATCTTAAATTTATTTTGCTCTCCGAGTAGGTAATTTAATTTCCATTGGTAGCATCTCAAACACCTACGAGAGTATACAGTGTAGTGAAGTTTCTCTTCTGTTTCATCTCCCATTTACTAATTCCCAAAAGTCCTCTCCCATAGGTCAGCATGGGAGCTGCATATATAGGTACAGATATATACGCCACGCCTCTTTAGACAAATAGCCGGCACAGTAACAATATTATGCATCTTGCTTTTTCATGTAATGATAAGTAAATGAGATGGTAGCAGAGGCAGCTAGGTGTTCAGCAAACGTATTCTCTCCTTTCCTAGGAAACAGTCACAGTTCAAAAGCAGCTGCTCAGCCAGAATCGCATTTCCCAGCCTTCCTTGAATCTGAATATGTACATATGAGCAGTTCTTTCATGTAGAATGGGAGTAGAAGGCATGCGCGCTTTCACGTCAAAGACTTTCAGAAACAACTCTGCCTCTACCATGCCTCTGTTCCATTCCATCAGCTCGATGCAGACAACGAGGCCTTAGAGGACAATGGGATCAGAAGAGAAAACGGGTGCAGTCCCCATGGGAGAGCTGCCCACCAACCAGAAGAACTAGAGATCAGCCTCCATTGCATGGATGCACTGTGGGCCAGCTGTTTACAGCAGTCTTGTCACCAGATCAGAAATTGCACTGCAGAAGTCACACAGAACATCCTTCTTTTTGCTTCTATTTTTGCAACTGTTCACTAGTCCATTGGAAAGGTGGCTCACGGTTGCTTCAGACTGCCCCTCTCTAGGATATAGAAGTTGCTTCTAGCCTTTTGCCACTCGAAACAATGCCGCTGTGGACAGAAGTATACATAGATCATTTCGTGGGTGAGTATCTTCCAGAGAAATATTTCATGTTGCAATTGAAAATATTTTAATATTTCCTTTAAATATGTATGTCATATAAGGCCTAGGCACTACTAATATTAATACAAACTATATACATGTCATTCAGTTCCTGTTCTGAAGGGATTATATCAATAATCAAAAAATTAGAAGGTGACATCACCCAGCCCCATCTTACTTGTTTGAAGGCCTACTTAACCAGAAGCCTCAACTATTTGCATTGAAAATGAATCCAACTGGGAAGTAAAATAGTTGTCTGGTCTCTCATTATGGATGACTTGAAAAGTCATGTGTTTCATTATGAATTAGTTCATCAGTTGTCACCTGGATCCTCATTCATCCTTACTTTACATACACTCTGAAAAACAGTCTGGTCATGTGGCCTATTTAAAAATCAAATTAGAAGAGAGAGAAGAATGGAAGCTGCGCAGCATCACTTTGAGCAAGGAGAGAAAGTGATGGAAAGAGCCAAGGAAGCATAAAAATCAAGCAGAAGTGTTCAAAGGCCCAGGGAGAAGGACAATTTCAAGTCAGGGCAAACATTGCATTGCTATTTGCTGGCACCACAAAATAACTCACAGCCAAAGGTAGGAAGGAGCCTGAGTCATGAAGGAATTACTTAAGTCATGTGTCGTAGGCTAAAAAGAAGTATAATATTTTAATATTTTAAAAAAGCAAAGCAAGTAAAGAGCAAAAAAAAGAAGTATTATAATTTAATAAATTTTACCATGCTAAAAAGGAAGCTTTGATGTCTACTTAGAAAATATGCATGTATAAAACAGGTCATTTCCTAAGAAGCCTAAGTAGATCAAGTGTGAGCCAGAGGATATCAGGTCCTGATACCTCAGAACCCTGAAGTGCGCAGTATGCGGTGAGCTGCTAAGCCTGGGGAGGAAAACAGGACAGTGGGAGGAACGTCACCTTCCTGGAAGAAGAGTGGAGTGCAGTTTCCTAGTGGGAAGGCAAACGGCTTCCTGACATTTGTGCTCTTCCCTGGGCTTCGTCATTGTGTGACCTGCATAATGTCCTTAAACATGCCCTTCTGACTTCCACCTGCACTACACGACGTCCCAGCGTGGACTGTGCCGGCTCATTCATCAGGAATGGTATTTAATCAGGGCTGCAAGTCAACCAGAGGAGACTCATTAAAGTCACCGCAGGACGGAAACTCAGGCTCCCAGCCGTGGCCTTACCCTGAGGTTGCTTTTCCTTTCACCTGCCAATTACTTTCATCCACCTCCCACCTTCCGGTTCCCATGCTAAGCCCAGATTAAGCTGGTTCACTCGTAGGAGGGAAGACCTTGAAGGAAGCTCCACTGGCATGGCTGGGAATCAGGGCAGGTGCCCGTGCTCAGGGTCACTGCTGAATGGCCATCAGCGAGGCAGCTGGCAATGGCTACTGGAGGAAAGTCTCTCCCACTGGAGACACAGTCACATCCTCCCGCTGCCCTAACCCAAGCACGGCATTGGTTTTAGTCCCGTTTCTTTCGAGGAGATCATGTTCTTTATTTCCTCTCCACACAAGAATGCAATATTCTTCTCCACCTTGTATCACAAATTGCTGTTTAATATTGCACATGAAACAGCCCCCATGTCTCCTCCATCTCCCTCAAAGTGGGCCATCGAGACCTTCACTGCTTTCAGGGAAGCAAAGACAACTTTGGATGAGTTGTGCTCCATAAAAATGCCATGGGCCGGGTGCAGTGGCTCACACCTGTAATCCCAGCACTTTGGGAGGCCGAGGCGGGTGGATCACAAGGTCAGGAGATCGAGACCATACTGGCTAACACGGTGAAATCCCATCTCTACTAAAAAAATACAAAAAATTAGCTGGGCGTGGTGGCGGGTACCTGTAGTCCCAGCTACTTGGAAGCTGAGGCAGGAGAATGGCATGAACCCAGGAGGCGGAGCTTGCAGTGAGCCCAGATGGCACCATTGCACTCCAGCCTGGGTGACAGAGAAAGACTCCATCTCAACAACAACAACAAAAAGAATGCCATGATTAAAATGGCAAATGAGCATGTTCTGTCCGAGTCTGTAATAGGTCCTCAAATTGTGCAAAGAAACACATGGATTAGAACTCCTTCCTTGATCTAGAATTAACAAATTCAACTTTCTGATTATGCTAATCTGGTAAGAGTTTAGCATAGAGCATATGTGTTTGGATTCAGAATATTTCTTATTTACAAACAAAACTAAATTTAATTTCCCCTTTCCACTTTCTGCAGACATTTTTGCAGGTTTTGAAAACTTGTTTGAGGGCATTGAGAAAGCATTCAGCACTGCCTCTGAGACAGGGATTTGGCCCACATCAATTTCACACCATTAATGAATTGGTATAAACACATTTATTGAAATCATCAAGAGTCACACTACAGAACCAATGATCCTACCCCACCCCCCTATTTTTTAATCCAAAACATACACAATAATATTTTGTCAACCACCATCCTCAATGTAAAACTAGTAGCCATATTTGCATTGCACCAAATGGTTTACAAACATTTTCTCAATCATTATTTTATTCTAATGTTTGTTTACTAACATAAATGGAATTGGACAATAGCTTCACTTTATCATTCCAGGGTCGGTTTAATCAAGATTGGGAATACCCTAAAGTCCTTAGTGTCTTACGTCCAATACAAAATACCAGTTCCCCTGAGAAAGTGTTTTTCCCGTTTGGGTCCAAGGATCACCTGCATCAATGTCAGCTGCTGGGTTGGGGGTAATATCACTGATTAAAATATGAAATTCCTGCTGCAGCGGGATAATGGGGGTCCGAGTCTCTTCGGGTGGGGGCAGGGAGTCTGCATTCTGAGTCTTTTCCTGAGTGATTTTTGGCTTACGAAAATGTGCCTTACTCATTCTGCACAAATATAATGGCTATGTAATTGAAGTCCTTTCTCTCTTCACTCCTGTCCTTTGCATCAGTCAAGAAGGTTTTCAAAAGACCTATGAAAATACAGTGATAGTCTCTGCAACTTTCTAATATGACTACTGAAGATTAAAAGTGTATTAAAAATGGAAGGCAATTCTAGGAAGGCATCAACCGTACTATGTATGGTAGAGGATAGTGTCTTCAGAGGTCCAGTGCTGGAAAGCTTGCTGTCATTTTTGGGTTCAGGAAGGTTTAGCAGAAGAAAGGGATTAAAAGTAGACTTCGAGAGGATGGATAGTCGGGATATGGAGATCAGGAAAGAGAAAGACTTAAGCAAAAATGGAAAAGAACACAGCAAGTTCACAGATCAATCTATGGTGTACTACAGACGGGGGCTCTCCTGAGTGCAGACAAAGAGAGGGGATGTTGTCTGTATCAAATTTCCAAATAATAACAAACTCACAAAAAGCCAGCCTGCTTTTTATTATCACCATGACCGTGTAATTCTAAACTACTTCAGTGCTAACATACTCTCTTAAAACAATCATTTGTTGGTTCGAGTTCTGTTAGTATGAAGCTTTAATAATCTATCTGTGAACTCCAAAGAAGCATATTTTTACTATTTATCCTTAACATAAGTTGTATCCGACAGGACGGTTATTTCAGAGAACTCAGCTACATGTGTCAGTTTGGAGAGTGAGTTTGCAAAGTTTTGGGATAATACAAGCTTACTTTGGACTCCGTTAACGTTTTCAAACCTTGTAGTAAAACCGGCAGATTTACAATAAAAATTGAAAGCGTGGTGGGAAAAAAATGAAACAATTTAATTGAGTTGCTCCAATTCTGTTATTCCATGATCACTTTCAGTTTTCATGGCATTTAAAATGTGAAGCAGGCCAGCGGCTCACACTTGTAATCCCAGCACTTTGTGAGGCCAAGGCAGGAGGATTGCTTGAGCCTGGGAGTTCGAGACCAGCCTGGACAACATGGTGAAACCCCATCTCCACAAAAAATACAAAAATTAGCCAGGCATGGTGGTGCACGCTTGTAGTCCCAACTGCACAGGCGGCTGAGACAGGAGGAGCCTTTGGACCCAGGAGGTTGAGGCTGCAGTGAGCCATGTGCACCACTGCACTCCAGCCTGGGTGACAAAGAGAGACCCTGTCTCAAAAATAATCTCTGCCAAACATATCATTATTTTTGAAGACTTTTGCTATATCTTTTACTTCAAGTGAAAGAAATTTTAAAATTAATAAAAAGCATTATTCAATTAGCTATTGATAATGATAAATGAACAGATTTGGGCCTACTCTCTGCTGAACGTGAGTATGCAAACATGATTAATTTGACAGAGTTGTTGACAAATTGGCAAAAGTTAATGCTCAAACAGAAATTGTAATGTGATTATTCTTTCCTGTGACAAACAGAAATTGTTATCACTTCCCTGCATTATGCCACTTATGTATACCTCTGAGCAATATATATTACGTTTTGTATTTTTAAAGCTTTACAGAATTTGTATCATACCCAATATGGTTTGTATCTGTGTCCTCACCCAAATCTCATGTTAAATTGTAATCCCCAATGTTGGAGGTGGGGCCTGGTGGGAGGTGATTGAATCATGGGGGCAGTTTCTCCTGGTTTAACACCATCCTCTTGGCGCTGTTCTTGTGATCATGAGTGAATTCTCACGAGATCCGATTGTTTAGATTGTTTAGAAGTATGTGGCACGTCCCTGCTCTCTTTTGCTCCTGCTCCCACCATGGGAAGTGCCTCTCTCCCCCTTCACCTTCTGCCATAATTGGAACATTCCTGAAGCCTCCCAGAAGCAGAAGCTGCTATGCTTCCTGTACAACCTGCAGAACCATGAGCCAATGAAAGCTCTTTTCTTTATAAATTACCCAGTCTCAGGTATTTCTTCATAGCAGTGTGAGAACACACTAATACAATACCATATGTATTTTTCCAAAACTATGTTTATTAATTTAATACGATGTTTGTGAGAGTATCTATGTTGATACATGTAGTGCTAGTTCATTTATTTTCACTTCTCTATCATGTTCCATGGCATAAATACATCTCTTTCATGCATCCTCCTGGAAGTGATTATTTAGATTGTTTCTGAGTTATCTCAGGGGCAGTGAACATCCTTGCTTATGTCTCCCTAGGTTTATGCCCCTATACCTACAGGCAGAATGACTCAATCAGAGGATGTGTATTTTTTAAACTTTACTAAATATGCCATATTGAACTTCAAAATACTTGTTCAAATTTATATTCTTACAAGCATTGAATGACAGTTTCCACTGCAAACCTCAACGATAGTTGTTGCAGTCAGATATTTAATTTTTGCAAATAAGAGCGCAACATGTTACCTCACTGTGGTTTGATTTTCGTTTCCCTGATTCCTAGTGATATTGAACATCTTTTCATGAATTCTTTTCGTGAATTCAGTTTCTAAAGCCCTTATTCTGTAAATCTCACTGTTTCTCCACATCCTTTAACAATTATATTCTCAGTATTATAATAGTACAAATTGATATTTTTAAATTTTATGACCATTCTGCTTACCAATGTCCAGTAACACTTGAAGATATGAATAATTCATTTAATTATATATTAATTACCCAAAGTTAGTTATTTCACAACTCTTCACATAGATACTATTGGATTTAAGTTTTTCATATCGAAACACAAAAAATAATTCTACTAAATAAATTGAAACAAATGTACAGAAGAACATATGGAGGAAAAAAAAAAAAAGAACAAGCTCATTGCAGATCTGTGTTCTACGAAATCCAAACTTCTTATCCTTGTCTGCAGACCTCACTTTTCTAACCTCATTTCCTCGGAAGCTCCCCTTTCTCATGTGAAGGTCCCTCTGGCATCTCCCTGTCCCTAGAACCCAGCCAGCTCAGCTTCCCTCCCAAGATGTTCCTCTGACGCTTCCGTCTTCCTGAAATCCTCTGGCTGGATTATGATCTCAAGGCCTGATTTCTCAATCACATTAACCCCAAACTCCAAACTGACTAATCTCTCTCACACATATACAGTCTCTTCAATTTTTCATTACATTTTTTTCATTATCTAATATTGTCATGTTTATTTTTATTTTTTAAACTTTCTGTTGTCTATTTCACCATACAAAAACACAATGCTGAAGAACAGGGCCCCTGTATATCCCTAGTGCCTCAAACAGCACCTGGGATGCTGGCATGCAGTAAATGTGATTTGAAGGCTAGGCAAAGGCTGGATTAGAAAGCACACATTTCTCACATTAAATATATTAAAATCCTTACAATCTAGGAACCCGTACAAGTGATGACCACAGTATTTTGAAGGTGACTTTTATGACTAGTGCAATTCAATTCAATTTGCTTCCTACATTGGGAATGCCAGATATTCGTTTTTAGGCTGAAGGTAATTCTATGGTATCAGACTAATTGAAGAGAATTTGAATTACAAAAGTGTAGTTACAGGTTCTATATAGACAAGAAACATGTGTGTAAAAACAAAGTTGCCAGAACAGAATTTCAGCAGAGTAGGAATTTCAATGGTGCCCTTACCCAATCACAATGATCTAGTAAGAGCTGCTCAGGTGCCACCTGCAGGAAAAATAGCCCAAAGTCACAATCATCTGATGAATAATATTCAATTAATTACGATAGCTCAATCTAGAATGTAAATGCCACAGAAATGCTGGGAACAAAATCACCTTCAAGGCAACTTCATTCATACTGTAAAAGAACCCTTGCAATACAGAGATCTAGGTACTGGTCAGTGAGTTGGATTTTTACTGATATTTTGAGTGCTAACAACAAATGAAACTAAAAGTACCTTTCTTGGTCTGTTTGGGATGCTATGACATTATCATTAGCTGGCTGGCTTATAAACAACAGAAATTTATTTCCTATAGTTCTGGAGGCTGGAAAGTCCAAAATCAAGGCACCAACAGATTTGGTGTCTGGGGAGGGCCTACTGCCTGTTTCATAGACGGCACTTTCTCATGCATCCTTACATGGTACAAGGGGCTAAGCTAGCTCTCTGAAGTCTCTTTTATAAAGGCATTAATCCTATTCATGAGAGCTCTGCCTAATCACCCCCCAAAGGCACCATTTTCCATTACCATCACCTTGGAGATTAAGTTTCAACATATAAACTTTGGAGGGATGCAAACATTCAGACCATAGTAGTACCATTAGAGATGTGCATTCTTTACTTAGAGGCTTTTTAGAATATGAAAAAGTGGCCTCTTGCTTTAAATGGTACACATTAAGCATTAATAGAATGAATGGAATACTCTGTAGAATCAAACCACGTTTTTCGGAGTCTACTAATTTCAAAAGGCCTTCATAATTTAGAGAGCTATTTGTTGACTCTTATCTTTGCAAATACTTTATTCCAGATGTGACTAATTAGTAGTGTAAGCAGGTTTGCTGGGGAATGTTTATATTACTTAGGAAAAAGCATAATTAGGAAAGAAGCTACAAAGAATATAGCCCTGGGAGCAGTTGAAGATTGAATGATTAGCATTTTATCTTGAACATTCCCCTAAAGACCTTATGTGGGGATCATCTATTATTACTATTATTATCATTATTGCAGCCTTAGTGTTTATATATATATGCATTTCCATGGTGCTTATACACACACACACATCATAGTGACATATAATATTTGTTTAATGTCACCGATAACAGCACATGTTTATTAACAAGGAAACTGAACCTCTAAAAAGTTAAGTAACTTAGAAAGGTCATTTTTTCCATATTAGCTTACCTAGAAGTTGTGTCTTCTGACGCAAAAGCCTGAAATATTTTGATGCAGATTACTAAAGAACTTTGCCTATTTGTATATTTTATTGTCTATCTCAACTCACAAGAAATTGGAATCTTTCAATACTTCCTAAATTATTGTAAAAAGAGGGCATAAAACAAATAGTTTAAATCATACCCAACTTCACCAATATCAGTTGAGCATAGGGACACTCACTTCTGATTTCTAATTAAAGAATTGTTCAGGCTAAGCCTACATTTCTTCAGTGGGAGCATCCCATTTATATTTCAGAAGCCCTTATTACAGGCAATCAATTTTGTAATTGTAAATCTTGGTGCTAAGAATCTGCTAGGACAAAGCCCATCTATAGATGGTAGATATGAAGTATTCTAAACTGAATTCCTTGAGGGCTATTACTCTCTCTATCTCGTGAACCTATCTCAGCCCATAGATCACGGCTGATGGAACAGTTGGCGGAGTGGGGAGTGAACGGACAAAATATTCAGTGCACAATTTATAAAAACTGGTTGTTAACCAATAACTGGTAGTTATTGACATAGGCTGAGAATAAATTTAGGTTATATAATTAAGTAAGGCAAATTTGTTTCTAATTAACATCTGATAAGTATTTTGGATTATACACAGAAATGACTAAAGCAATAAATCCCTACATTTCTCCCTTATGCCACATGCCCCAGGAGGACAAGTTTGTCCCACATACAGTCCTTAGATCTTCAGCCAGAGCTGCAGTTCTGTTGTTGTTTTTACTTCACAGCCACTTTCATTTTGCTTACTACAAATTTAGTAAAATTCTGAACAAGCTTGTTGTTTTACCTGTCCCAAAATTTCAAACTCATAAACTAAAGACATTTAGGATGTTTTTTAAGCCTAGGATGTGTTAGGATGTGTTTTTGAGAAGAAAAATAAAGCTACTGCATGGAGACAATTACGGTAAAATTAAGGGAGACAGATATTCTATTATTTAAATGCGCAGTTTAAAACTACATATTGAAGGTTACAGCCCATTAATGTAAATTATTTTGCAGTGAAAATATCTAATTATCTCTTCCAGATAACAAATATAAATGTAAATGTTTTGACCTCATCATAATAACCTGTGGGGAGAGAAGCTGCACAATTGCAAATCCAGAGTATGCCCCAAAGTTGAATTGTCTGTGAAAGTCACCCGTTGTGTCTCTGGTGTAGCTGTTTCCAGGTGCCTCTTTCATAGAACAAGAAGAGAAAAATGCATTAGATTCTTGCGTGTGTTGAAATTACATTTTTAGAAGAGCAATTATTTGGTGTGGTATATAAGGACAATGATTTTTTTTTAACTCATCACTATCGTGGTTCTTAGTAAAATGCATTTGCAAAAATCAATATGTAAATTAATTTTCAGGAAATTTTTTTCACTCACTTATTTCATGGCAGAATTATTAACCTTTCTACAGTTAAAGACAAATAGAATATTGCAAGCTTCAGATTTAAAATATAGACTGAAATACATCATTTTGTAATACAAATAAGGATCTTGAGACCCTTGGAGGTGTGACTCACCCATGTGTTATTTATAGGCATCTTCAGACTGGGTGCTGGATTTGCTTTTCTTCTTAGACGTATCTGAACTCTACTGTTGACATTACAGCAGTAACACCTGTATCAAGAAGACTGAAATCCTGGGTTTGCTGCCATGATCTCTAAAGCATTGTTTGGTTGTAAAAATATTTTATTGTTACCAAATGAAGAGGCTGAAAATAAGAGTTTCTGTTTTAATGAGAGTAGCAAAACTTTCCCATGTACGTGGAAGAAATGGAGTAGTTTGTTCACTTCTCCTTCCTCCATTTTAGGGTGTACTCCTTTGCTTAATTAATTGGGAAACATAAACTTAACATGAATTTTTACAATAACATGCTTCAGTTTTTCCAATGCCTTCAGTTTATCATGAAGACTGTGGATTGACACATGTCAGGGTCTTAAATTGTTTGAGTTCCTTTGGGTAGCAAGAAACAGAGGCCCTCCGGGGTGACCATAAGATTAGGAGTTCATTGTAGAGATACACAAAGGACAGCAACAGCAGCGACTCCATCTGCACAGCAGAACCCAGAATATTATTGCAGGAACTGGAATGTTGGTTTAAGACACACCACAGCTTTAGTAGCTGTGTTCTTGTCACCCCATCTCTAGTTCTTGCCATTGAGGTTATTCAGCCACTCTCTGCCTCTTCTCCTACCGCTCTAGGTCTACTTGTTACTAGTTAATTCTCCCTAGAGTGCTGATCTGATGGACCTGGCAAACGACCCACCTATATGGGGGTTCTCTAAAGGGAGAGATTGTATCCCAGCTTGCTTTTAAGTCAGAAACCCATCTTTAGCCATTTGACCACAACTGGGTGCAAAGGACAAAGATACAAGGGTCGTAATTCTTCAGAAGATGGCTTTACCTAATCGTTAGTAATAATATTACTGAAATGTTAAAAGTATTTGTGTTTCTGGCACGTGAAGTCTTCCCCAAAAGATTACTGAAACTTAAAAGTACTTCACATTGTCTCTCCAGTGCGACTCATTACAATTTCAATCAACATGTCCGGATCTCTAACTTGCAATATATCCACACCTATTCTATCAAATTGAAATAATTTTAAAAGGTACCTGAAGGTTCCATGTGTTCTTATGCTCTGTCTTTCCATATCTGCTACCTTTGCCTAGAATGACTTTCATCATCTCTTCTACTTGGATAACTTCTACTCATCTTTCAAGGTTCAGCTCAAGCACAGTAATAACTATATTTTGTTTCTTGCCTGTCCAACATCTTTTCCTCTTTATTTTGGTAAATTTCCCCTGGGGAACTGTTGTTTCTGTACTTTCAGCTTGCATTGTTTGGAGTAAGCTTACCCCATGCCTTGACCCCGAGCTTAGGAGGATAATGTTGATCAATCAGTACTTTGTATTCTTTTAGCTACATGTTTGGATCAAGAGTAGGCATTTGACCCAAGCAAGTTCAGGAACGTTCAATCATCTGGGACCGTTTTACAGAATTACTATAAAGGTTTCTTTGATTCTATAAAGTTGACTAACTGATTAAATGAAAGCCTGGAGTTTCTAGTGTCAGTACTTGTCACTGCATGAGGATGGTCGATGTATGAAAAACAAACAGCGATGTAACTGTAGTTGAGAGAAGGAGAGTGAAATTGAGAACATAGTGGGGTACCTGGATCAAACTGTAACTAAACGTCAATGTCAACCCCCACCCTGAAATTTTCCTTTTTGTAAAACAATAAACCTCTTTTTTCTCAAGTGAGTTTTACCTGAGGTTTTTACTACCTGAGATATACATGTGATATAGAGATGTAATTAACACAAGCTAGGTTAAGCCAGGTGCTTTGGTTTGATTAAGAAACATCTCTAGTGATTCCTTTTGTCAGTGGTCTTAAATGTCAAATAATTCGGAGAATACTGTTCCTATAACTTACATTTTTATTTTTTATTTTTGTAAGTACAGGTTATTATGGAGGTTATAATAAAGATCATACAAGTAAAAAAAAAAGAAACAATTGCTGCTTATAATGGAACTTCAATGTTTTTTGAAATAAAATTAATACAGTTAACTATTTGTAAAATAGCATTATTAACCAAACAGCTAAAAATGTATTTGTGTTTCTCTGATTAGCCACACTCTATCACGTGGCTTTGATTGTCTTTTTCTGCCCTAGACTGTGAGCTCATGGAAGGCTGGAACAGGACCCATTTATCTTCCTGCGGTCAGTGCCCGCTGCATTGGATGGCATTTTGCGAGCATTCATTGAATATTTGATGAGCAATGAAAGAAAGACAGATAAACTTTTAGCTGTTTGATTAACAACAGTATCTTCTGAATTGTTAAATATGTTAATTTTAGTTCAAAAAATAAATCCATGCTCCATTATAACCAGCAAAACTGTTTCTTAATCAAACCTAAGATTTTCTCTCTCTTCAAAGTGCTTCCACAAAAAGGAAAAATCTGATGAATTTCGCACCGTATTTTCTTAGTAGAATCTAAGTATCTGTTTTAACACTTCAGTCTATAGATCCTATTTAGTGGTTCAACAACAGTGAACAATTTAATAGAGAGAGAAATGAGGTTGATGAGGGAATCAAGGTCCGGATCATAGACGGTCCCAATTTCTATGCTAAGCAGTTTGGATTTTATTGTGTAGGCAATTTGGAGCCACTGAGCAGTAACCGTGCAAGATTCACATTTTCGAAGGATCACCAGTGGCAGGTTCAGGATGTGGAAAAAGGGCCAAGAGTTCCGAGGATCTAGAGAATGCACGAGAGCCCAGCTGCAGGTTAGCGATTGTCCACACTGAGGCAGTGGCAATAGGGGTGAGAAGCAGGTGGAGGCTGAAATTTGGGGGCTGCATGTAGGGGGCAAGAAAAATCAAAGATGACCCCAGGTTCTGGCTTGGATGGCAGTCATTCACTAAGACAAAAAAAAAAGTAATAAACATAAATGAGATAAGTAGATCTGGAGAATAAACTAATTTGATTTTGGACACATTAAGTTTAAAAGAAAAAAAGAGAAAGAACTGGCAAGAAAAAAGAAAGAAAGAAAAAAAAAATCTTGTGGGAGTCCTTAATCTTTATTCTGGCAACAGTTTTTAACCGGACAGCTGGAGCTGGGTGCTTGACTCTTCTGCCTTGCGAATGTCCTGTCCACCCTGCCCAAGCCCTGGGAAGGCAGAACCGGCCTCTGCCGAGCTTGGCCTTCAGACACCTCCTCCGAGGCACGGCGTTCACTGTGAGCTTGTGGACAGTTCTTGTGAGCTCGAGCTATAAGGAAGCTCCTTAAATGACGTAAGTGGGTTGCTGAGACTGGGGAGGGAAAAAATGTATTTCACTTTAGGGTATTCTTGAGTGGGTTTGAAAAAAGTTGAAAGAATATAGAAAAGTATTTTATTTGTGAGGCCCAACGATAGAATTTCCTTATTTCAAAACGAAATCTCTGTTGTTGCGTTAGTTTCCCTCTGCTATCTAATGATAGCCATTTTGCACAGGGTGGAAGTGCTCCAGACAGACAGACTGCAGGAATCGGTTCAGCAAGGCTGGGGATGGGGCCAGGTGCAAACCCCAAATTACATTTGATCACTTGCATCTGATTTCTTCCCCTTTCACCGATAGATGTCCCTGTAGCAAATGAAAGGATTTTGAAAGGAGTCCAGGGGTGTAATTAAGTGAGACAATACAGATGCCAGAATTTAAACACTGCCAGTTTTATGTAATTTAATTAATACTGTGGAGAGGGGAAAAATGCTTGCCTGTGCAATATTTCGTGAATAAAGAGCTGCTGACGAAAGGGCATCATTCTGACATAAACCAGTGAAATAAAGATTTGCTCCATAGATGGCTCTATTTGATTAGAAAGAACCACCAAATCCAGAATCCTGTTTATTCTTTTATGTCTGACATTTTACAAGTCTGGGTAATGTAATTATCTGTGGAAACTCCAACAGCATGCCAATTGTCCTTTACAGGTGTACCTGTCTTTGCAGACAACCTTCTTAGACATCTATTACTTACGGCACCTGCTTCCCTTGTCGGCTCACTACACTTGCGGGGAAGCCAGCCTCACAGATGGCAATGGAAGGAGGAAAATTTGAAATGAAAGAATGATGAGCTCATGTCTATAATCCCGGCACTTTAGGAGGCCGAGGCGGGTGGATCACCTGAGGTCAGGAGCTCGATACCAGCCTGGCCAATATGGCGAAACCCTGTCTCTACTAAAAATACAAAAATCAGTCGGGCATGGTGGCAGGCACGACCTACTCAGGAGGCTGAGACAGGAGAATCACTTGAACCTGGGAGGCGGAGGTTGCAGTAATCAGAGATCTCACCACTGCACTCCAGCCTGGGCGACAGACAGGGAGAGACTCCATTTAAAAAAAAAAAAAAAAGACGATGCTCTTGCTTAAAAATACAAATATACTGGTATTATTACATCAGCTTTTATTTATCTTTTATTCAGCCGAGACATTTTGATAAATATATATTTCATCTTCCTCAGAGAAGTAGTGGATAATGCTTTAGATGTAGACTCGAAATCAATTTTGGTAATAACTGTGGGTATAGCTCACAGCTCCCCAAATGGAAATCAGGGGACATGAAAAGAGAAAGAAGGTCTGTGATCAGCTAAACACTCCAACAAGACCCTGATGTCTCACATCGTTCCTCATTTACAGCTTATGGATGTGAATAAGGGAAAACTATTTGAAATTTCAAAGAGTTTGGGGTTTTGAATTTGTCTTTATTTAAAATGTTCCTTTTCTCTCTTTGTACTTCATAGTTCTTTTCAGAACTTTCATCCACTGCACGTAGTAAACACTGTGTTCTGTAAATGAAAATGAGGGAGAAATGGAAGGATTCGATGCCAAAGATCTAGAAGGGCTACCATGCCCACTGAGACATGAATCGTGTTTCTTCACTCTGTACTCACTGTCCTCACATGGTTTCTGATGGATCATCTGCGTATTTTCATCAAATATGACCAGCTCTAAATGGTATAGTCAGGCTAACAGTTTTAGTTATAAGACAGATTCAACATAACCAAGATAAAATATTAGGGAACTTGATCCATTTTTGAGAATTCAATAATATGTATGCCGTGTAATTCAAGTTTAATCACATGAAAACACACTCCTTCTATTTTAATTAAACACATATATACGGTACACTGGGATAGTGCTCAATGTACCTGAAGTTTCAGGAAATTTAATCTCTGGAGAGGGCCATGGCCAAGGCGTGAGCCAAGCCTACTGCAGGTGGTCTCGTCTGAGAAGTTGTTTGGTTTACCCATTGTTATGATTGTTAAGTAACGAACTGCCCCCAAGAGTCTGTTACTTTTATTTGTTCACAATTTTTTCATCATAAGTTTAGGCAGGGAGGAAAGGACATTTATTTTGCTCTTTGAGACATTGGTCACTGTCATTAAGTTATAGTTAGATGGTTTCATTTGCATGTCTGGGACCTTGGAGGAGGAGCTGCAAGACCTCTCTCTGTTTCCCACTTGGCCAAACTTGGGTTCTTGACATGTGGCTGGATTCCATGAGAGCTTTCCCAAGAGGAGCACAGGTGGAAGCTGCAGATAGATTCCTAGCCACAGAGGTGCTATCAGCATCCTTGCTGCCTTCTCCTGGTCAAATCCAGGCAAAGGGCCAGGCCAGATGCAAGGGGGACGAAAATAAACCCTGCCTCTCAATAGGAGAAGAAGCAAGAATTTGTAGTCATCTATAATCTACTAGAATCTATCCTTTGGCCATAAAATATTTATATTCTTTGACATGCAAAATACACTTACTTTCTCCCAAGAGTCCATAACTCTCATCTCGTTATGGTGTCAGGGTCTAATGCAAAGACTAGGATCTCATGATCTAAGTCGGACACAGGTAAATCCATGAATTAAAAAGACAAGCCAACTGCCTTCCACACACACAGTATCTGCAGCAGACACTCCACAGGAGGAAAGGGGAAGCATGTAACGATTGGAACGCAGCCATGTCTGCCCTGCAATTCCTCCTGCTCACTGAAGAAACCCTAGATCTCCCCGCTGGGAGCAGCTCTCCGCCACATATGGCTTCTCCCTTCAAGCTTTTGGTTCTACCCTCTGAATCACCCTTCCTTTTCTATAAGAAATAGTCCATGCTTTCAACTAGGTAGTTTTCGGACAGCCCTCAGGACATCGGGGGAAAGGAGACTTCTTTCTGTGTTGCACTGTCTTTATCCCTTTCAGGCTAAACTGATACAGCTTCTGTGGGATTTCAGGATATACAATTATAATCCAACCCGCCAGACAAAAGTTCTGCCTACATATCTCTGTGCAATGGGCCTTCTCTCTGCTTTAGCTGTAATTCAGAGTTCCATGGGTAAATGCTCTTAGGAATCTTAGGAGAAACTTGTCTAGCTCAGGAGTAACAAGCCCCTTTTCACACATTCTCTGATCTTAACAAAGGGTTTTGTATCCGTGTCCTTGACTTGACCTGAAACATGAAGCCATATGGTCCTGGCAGTAAGTGTCTCTGATTTTTGTCTGAGCCACCTCTTACTTTCAGAACCTTCTGCCCACTGGACAGGCTAGAAATGAGAAATAGTTGTATTTTCTAACCCAGCAAAATCTAAGTTGGAATACTTTCTTTAAATTCTGCTTAAAAATCCATTTCTTTTTAAATCGGTCTTTCTCCACACTTTATTATCAAGAGCTCAAAGAAGCCTGCTGGCACTTAGAACATTCTGCCTGGGAATTTCCTTAGCCAAATTCACAAGTTCATTAGGTCCATGTTCTATCTTCTATGTTCCTGCTAGTATTAGTTTTGCCAAATGTTCTTCAACTACAGAATGCAGGTCACCATTTTCCCAGGCTTGAGTGGCAATTTTCTTACCACCTTCCTGGTCTGCAATAAATCTACTTGCTATTTTTTAAGTTTCTATCTAGCAAAGCCAACACCATCTGCTTTGGGTTTGTGTTATTGAAGCATCCCACTTCTTTTTTTATTTTCTAAAAAATATTTTGAGACAAAGTCTTGCCCTGTCATCCAGGCTGGAGTACGATGGTGCAGTTATTGCTCACTGCATCCCACTTCTGATACCAAATTCTGTTTCACTTTTTCTATTGCTACTAACAAAGCACCTCAGAACACAGTGGCTTTAAAGAGCAATTATTCATTATAGTTCTTCATGTGGCCAGGAAGTTCTCCCACTATATGTGGTGTTATAGGAAGTGCTGGGATGGCTGGAGAGTTCAGAATATTCTCACTATCATGGCTGGCAATTGGTATTCATCCCTGGCTTGGGTTCAGTGTGCTGTAGACTGGGGCTTCTCCAGGTGGCAGTTTGAGCTTTGTCCTGACGTGGAGGTTGGGTCCCAATAATGGACATTCCTTGAGGTGAAGGCAGAAGCTACAGCTCTTGTAAGGCCCATCCTCAGAAGCCACACCGTGTCATTCCCATCACATTCCGTTGATTAGAACAGGTCAAGAGTAACCGAAAGCAAAGGGAGATGAAATAGTTTCCCTCTTACTGTGGAAAAGACCAAGTGACATTGCAAAAATGTATTTTGGATGGAAGATGTGGTGTGATCATCTTTGGAAAGAGCTGGGGATGTTGGGATGAGGTGAATGTACTTTGTATGTGAGAAGAACATGAATTTGGGGGGATTAGCAGCCACAGTGTTATGGGTTGAATTGCATCCCCCCCCCCAAATTCACATGTTGAAATTTTAACTCCCCGTACTTCAGAATGTGACCTTATTTGGAAATAGGGTCATTGAAGATATAATTAGTTAAGATGAGGTCCTAGTGGTGTAGGATCGGTCCCTAATCTAATACTGTTGTCCTTATGAAAAAGGGAAATGTGGACACAGGTCTCTGGACACAGGGAGAACATGATGTGATGCTGGAGGCATAGATCAGGGTGAGGCAGCAGAAGCCCAGATACTTCAAAGATTACCAGCAAGCCTCATGGAGCTGGGAAGAAGCCTGGGACAGATTCTCCCACACAGCCCGGGGAGGAGCCAACCCAGCGGACATCTGACCTCAGAGTTCAGCCTCAAGAACAGTGAGAGAATACATTTCTGTTGTTTCTGCCTCCCAGTTTGCGGGACTTTTTCACAGCAGCCTCAGGAAACTGATACAGTCAGCCATAGGCCTTGTTTTGAACCTCTATCCAGGTAGAACAGAAAAAAAAAATAGCTAGAGTCTTTGGAACTCTTCAAGGATTCCAGTTAATCAAAGTGGCTAGAATTTTCACAAAAAAAAAAAAAAAACTCAAATATTTTCTTTCCTGAGGCAGTTTTTGCCACCTTTTATTCCAAAATCATATGTGGTATTCTAATCAGGAATAATCAGGAAACTGGCACATGTGTGTGACTCTGTGTGTGTGTGTGTGTATGTGTGTGTGTGTGTGTATGTGTGTGTGTGTGGTGGTTGTTTTTAAAAGACCACCAAATGTAGCCATTCTCAATCTCCTACATTAGAAAGGCTTTTTCATTGACACTAGTGCTGGTTCTGATTTAATGCTGCTACATGTGACAAGTGCTAAGGCCTCAACTACCTCTCCTTTGGAGGAAACTCCTCCAGAAAGCCAGCATTGGCCAAGTGGGTGCATTCACACTCACAGCTTCACATGCACAGGTAACTGGTGGCCACTGTTATTTTTGGAAATAACAGGAATTTTTGTGCTGTCTTATTCCGGTTTCCCAAGTAGCTGTTTTGCTAGTTTACCAAAAAGCGATGCTGCTGTCTCATGCCAATGCAGTATGCTAAAGCTCCAGTATAGATGTTGGAATATTTATGAGGAGATGACGAAGATTGATCTGTCCATGGAGGATTGAAATGTGAGCATCTGCTGTAATGGCACTAAAAGGAATTAGACTCATCAACTATAGTGATTCATAATGATAGCTGTGTTTGCTCTTAGAATATTAAGGGAATCAACCATCCACTTAATTGCCAAAAGGACTTTTTTTCTTTTTTACCCTACAACATTGCTCTCTCTCATTCTCTCAATATATAGATTTTTATGTAGATATAGCCCAAAATGGTATTACTGACTCAAGCATAAATGTAGCAAAGAAAAATTAACATGAGCTAATATCTTTGATTAATGCTCGTTTCTATGCCTGAACTTAGGAGCATAAATATCCCTTTAAAAGTAATGATGTCTTCAAATAAGATCAAATCAAATTACAAGGCACTTTGTTAATGAAAAGTATCGATTTATATAGCATTTGGTCCAAACCATTGCCAATTTTCAATTTATGTGATATCCCTCTTAGCAACGAGCCTTTCATCTTTGAGTACACAGAGGTCCTTCTCTTTCTCCTTTACTAGCTTCTCATTCCCCTCCTCCTCTCAAGCTTCAGGCCTCAGTTATTTTCTCATTGCATTCCCTTATTTGGCGATCCTATTTATTTCTACAGTGCTAGCAGTCACTTTTTGGCCGATGACTCCCAAATCTTAATAAGGTGCTACCTCTCTTTCCAATGTACTTGCCCAAGTAACCTATCTTTTCCAGCCTGACGGGGTTTTCCTCTCTACCTTTTTATTCATACAGTTTTAAGCCTCTACTCAAGCCTTCCAAATCTTACCACCCTTAAAAATCGAGCTGAAGATCCAGGTCACAGTTCCCAACTTCCTTCTGGTTCATGGTGTGATTTTTCCTCCTCTTACACACAAGAATGCATCAGCTACTCATGTGAATATGGGCCCTGCTACACCTCAGGAAGTAGAATTCAATGACTGAACATGACATTTTCAGAGAGTACAGGAGGTGAGGTAAGTTAAATAAGGGAGCTGGAAGGAGAGTGGACATGAGCCAGCCAGCATGACCCAATCAATTGTAACAACTATTAGGTGACGTATATCTCTGGAAGATCAGACATCCTGCCTTAGAATTAGCTTCACCATTGAATCAAACAATGATCATAGACCACCATGTGGCACCTCATAGGTTTTATTGAAAATTTCTATTTAGATCCAGTGATCTTACTTAGTTTTAGCCTGTTTGTATTTTGTCTCCCCAGTTAGATCATAACTCTCAAAAGGTTTAATGAAAGTTTTCCAATACCCCTGAGAGGGTATAGATCTACTGGGGCAGTAAAGTAATAAAGATTCACCCAGAAGATATTCCATTTCAGCAGTGGCTACTTCTATTGATTTCATCAACCACCAGACCTAGTAATTGAGGTGCAATCGTAACTGGAATGAAAATATTCCATTAAACCAAGTGAGTAATAGTGGCAAGCAAAAAAAGTGAAATGGAAAAGCTATCATTTGTGGCTATTTGAACCCACTAGTTAAATGAGTGTGCTGAAATCATGGACTTCTTTATCATCATAACAGACAAGCATGTCTAGAAATAGCTCAGAATCTCCGTTTATGGCACTGCCATAAAGACCGTTCTTTGGCAACATGTGACAAAGATACTGGTTTAACTTTACTTCTGGAGTAGAACACAATTTCATAGAAAGCACCCTTCAAAAACTATAATTTTTATTTAAAAATAAAACATAAAGTTATCTTCCTTGACAAGTAGTAGTGTCCTTGTGTGTTAGGGCAGCCAATGTCCAGGAACAAACAAACAAAAATGTTAATCAACTCAAAACAAAGACATAGTATCCTTTGAAAGACCTTAGATGGAAATTAACTGTAGTAGGCTACAGCTCCCATTTCTCTCTGAGAGGAAAGTAGGTCTTTGCAAGGCAGACAAGAACGTGCATTACAACTTTTGTAGATATTTGTTTTTTCCTCCCCACAGATATATATGGTTTGGTTAATTGAACAAAATAAGTTGTATTATGTGGTCAACGTAATAATAGTCCACTATAAACTAAACCTTGTTTATAGTTTAAATGGATGAATAATAAGAAACAGAGAACCAGAAAGTGAAAATGACTAACAACAAAGCTTTTTCAAGAGAAATAGGGAAATAGAAATGGAAGGAGGTGGTCATCAAATGAAAGCCACGAGATTTCCAAGCCTGAAAGCTACCCTGCTTCTGTTTCTACACCAGTGGACTCTGAATATTGGATGAAATGGGTAGGTTTGGGGGCCCAAGGATCAATGTCAATAACATCTTACTCAACATAGACATTGTGCTCAGCAGTCAGGAATATTGAGGTAGTTTCTCATTTTCGTAACTCGAGAAGATATGTGATTGTTGAGTAATTATACAGTGACCATATATCACTTGGCTACATGTTCCTGTATCTTTCTTAAACAGTCTGCTAGGCTGGAATTCCCACTGCAATGATGAGTGATGATTGTTACTATGACTGGACTGAGGCCATGCTGCACCCTGGAATGATCCCTTATGATTTCAGAGGCTTGCCGAATATCAGGTGCCGGTGAGCAGGTAAATCTCACAGACATATGGCCCATTTGTCACCTGAGGCAGAGGGACTAGATCTCCTTTTTAGCTCTCATAAAGCATGTTTTGGGACCTAGACATTTTTGATGCATAAATCTTGGGCACTGAAAGTTCAGTTTTGTTCTCCTGACTCTGCAGTTATTTCAGGCCACATGCCACTGCTGCTATTTCCAGGATGACAAATGAAGGCAGTGAGGATGATGGGGAGGAGAGGGTAGCCCGTGAGTTCGCACATAGGAAACAATGGTATTTTTACATTAAATGTTTGTCAGGCTTTCATTTCACGGATAAATCACTCTAAAACCAAGGAAGAGAAACCACTGCCCAAAGACAGAACCCACAAGATCAGTGAGTTATGAAGTCATCGCTAGAAACCATCAAAGCGAAATTCTTTTCACAGCACTCAGTGTCTTCTGCAGTTGTTATTGTTGTTCAACCCGTGCTGGAAAATCTTCAGAAATAAGGAACATGCGGGGGTCACTTCATCCCCATTTAAAACACTTCTCTGCCTTCTCAAAACGTTTTTATTTTGTTGAAACAAAATCTTCCCCTTTCCAACTTTCATTTCTCCATAAAATAGGAAGAAATTCTTAATAAAAATTTGAAATATTCCTGAAAGAAATAAAATTTGGTGATAAGAAAAGAAAAATAGGTAGCTAAACTACACAGAACTCAAAAGGGTTTTTTTTTTAAACTGGGAATCTCATTAATGATGAACATGGACATCACCTCATAAAGATCTAGAGTTTTTTCCAACAGATCATTGCAGAAATGGAGCAGGGGGAAGCATCTCACCTAAGTATGATTTATGGAAGATTTAAGTGTGCAAGCTCCTTAGGTGTACCCGCAAATTTAGAAATAGAAGGTGGCGGGATTCCGGCTGTCTCCTATACAGAGTTCATTAGCAAGTCCCTGCCGGAATTAACTTTGTCTGGCTTCCATATTAGACTAACATTGTTTCAAACCTTGAAGTTAACCTGAAAAATTGGTTTTCAGCCCAACTTCTTTTTAAAATGTCATCTTTTCTCCCTCGTCTTGACTACCAACCCTTCCTTCAACTGCTCCCACTTCAGAGGGGTAAAAAAAAGTTTCAATAAAGACATACTCAAAGGTCCCACCACAAACACAAATTCCCACCCCCCAACCAAACAAAATGAGAAGGAAGAAAGACAAGAGGTGAAACCCAGCAGACTTATTTTATTCCAGGTGCCTGGTTTTCATGAGTCTGGCCATGATGGTCAAGTCTTTTTCCGTTAGGCAGAACATAAGCCACTGTATATATGCTATATATGTGCTCACTTGCAGAACTCATGAGGGGAGGACCGAGATGAACTCCTCTTGCCTCCTTTTAAGAGCACCCTGTGCTTAATGACTCAACCCTCTTAATGTATCTTAAAAAGCATCATCTGTAGGTTTACAATTTAAAAGATGGGAAATACAGACCTGTAAATAAGCTGGATTACTGTAAGCCAGTACTCACAATGTGGTCCCTGGGCCAGCAGCTTCAGCCCACCTGTGACCTCGTGAGAACTGCAGACCCTCAGAAGGCCCCTAGACCTCCTAGCTCAGCACTTGTGGGGTACAGCCCAGCAATCTGTGTTTTGGCTGCACTCCAGGAGATTCTGATGCTCCTGTGAGCCTGAGAACCACTGCTCTGGGCCACAGGGAAATTGCAAAAAGCCTTTTCAAGTGGAGTCTAGACTGCTCTTTCCCCAAAAGACAGGAGTTACACAACTCACAAAAGCACAGGATTTCCCAAAGGAGGAGGCTGGAATTAAAAGTTGGAAACCTCACTGCAAATTGCCAAACTTTAAATTTAAATTCTGAGTCTTAATTTTTTATGATAACAAAGCTTGCTGCCATGGGAATAATAGGATGTAGTTAACTGCCCTCAGTGGCAATATTTCATCTAGGCTTGATGGGGCAATTTGAAAATATCATTAAAGAGACAAGTTGTACAATAGAGCACAGCAGAAGTGTGATTATCTTAGGAGATTAAACTCCCAAACATCATGTGGCTTCTAAATGTGTGTCTCCTATCGATTTAAAGCTCATGGCTAATAGCTGAGTTTCCTAACTACCATTTCAGATACATAGGCACCTGCATCTCCACACGCACTTTTTAAAGGGTTTTGAACATATCGAAAAATCTTGAATATTTTATCTTTCAAAATGAAGATTTTTTCTTTCTTTACTAACTTTGATACACCCTAATAGGAGGAGTAGGAGAAGGCGGAAGAGAAAGAGGAGGAGGCAGAGGACGAAACAAAAGAAAGAAGCAGTCTACAAACATAAAAGAGTACAAGGAAGGTAAAATTCACTTGAGTTTCCATAATTCAGAGAAAAGCATTATTTCTTGTCATTCATATCTTCCAGAGAGAGAGCTAGTGTATTAATCCTTTTTCATACTGCTGATAAAGACATACCCGAGACTGGGTAATTTACAAAATAAAGAGGTTTATTGGACTTACAGTTCCACATGGCTGGGGAGGCCTCACATTCACGGTGGAGGGGAAAAGGCACATCTCACATGACAGCAGACAAGAGAGCTTATGCAGAGAAACACACCTTTTTAAAACCATCAGATCTCAAGAGACTTATTCACTATCATGAGAATTTCACAGGAAAAACCCACCCCCATAATTCAATCACTTCCCACTGGGTTCCTTCCATGACATGTGGAAATTGTGGAAGTTACAATTCAAGATGAGATTTGGGTGCAGACACAGCCAAACCATATCATTCCACTCCTGGCCCCTCCCAAATCTCATGTCCTCACATTTCAGAACCAATCATGCCTTCCCAACAGTCCCCTCAAAGTCTTAACTCATTTCAGCCTTAACTCAAAAGTCCACAGTCCAATGTCTCACCTGACACAAGGCAAATCCCTTCTGCCTAAGAGCCTGTAAAATCAAAGGCAAATTAGTTACTTCCTAGATATAATGGGGGTACAGGCATTGGGTAAATACAGCCACTCCAAATGGGAGAAATTGGCCAAAACAAAGGGTCTACAGGCCCCATGCAAGTCTGAAATCCAGCAGGGCAGTCAAATCTTAAAGCTCCAAAATGATCTCCTTTGACTCTATATCTCACATTCAGGTCATGCTGATGCAAGAAGTGGGTTCCCATGTCTTGGGCAGCTCTGCCCCTGTGGCTTTGCAGGATATAGCCCCCCTCCTGGCTGCTTTCACGGGCTGGCATTGAGTGTCTGTAGCTTTTCTAGGCACAGAGCTCAAGCTGTCAGTGGATCTACCATTCTGGGGTCTGGAGGACAATAGTCCTCTTCTCACAGCTCCACTAGACAGTGACCCAGTAGGGAGTCTGTGTGAGGGCTCCAACCCCACATTTTCCTTCCACACTGCCCTAGCAGAGATTCTCCATGAGAGCCCTGCCCCTGCAGCAAACTTCTGCACAGACATCCAGGCATTTCCATACATCCTCTGAAATCCAGGTGGAGGTTCCCAAACCTCAGTTCTTGACTTCTCTGCACTCACAGACTCAACACCATATGGAAGCCTCCAATGCTTGAGGCTTGCCCCCTCTGAACCCATAGTCTGAGCTCTTTGTTGGCCACTTTCAGCCACAGCTAGAGCAGCTGGGACACAGGGCACCAAGTCCATAGACTGCACACAGCAGAGGAACCCTGGGCCTGGCCCATGAAATCATTTTTTCCTCCCAGGCTTCTGGGCCTGTGATGAGAGGAGGGGCCATGAAGACCTCTGACATGTCCAGGAGACATTTTCCCCATTGTCTTGGGGATTAACATTCAGCTTCTTGTTACTTATGCAAATTTCTGCAGCCAGCTTGAATTTCTACTGAGAAAATGGATTTTTCTTTTCTATCACATTGTCTGGCTGCAAATTCTCCAAAATTTTATGCTCTGCTTCCTTTATAAAACTGAATGCATTTAACAACACCCAAGTCACATCTTGAAAGCTTTGCTGCTTAGAAATTTCTTCTACCAGATACCCTAAATCAAATCATCTCTCTCAAGTTCAAAGTTTCACAAATCTCTAGGGTAAGAGCAAAATGCCACCAGTCTCTTTGCTTAAACATAACAAGAGTCACCTTCGTTCCAGTTCCCAACAGGTTTCTCATCTCCATCTGAGACCACCTCAGCCTGGACCTTATTGTTCATATCACTAACAGCATTTTTGTCAAAGCCATTCAGCAAGTCTCTATGAAGTTCCAAAATTTCCCATATCTTCCTGTCTTCTTCTGATCCCTTCAAACTGTTCCAGCCTCTGCCAGTTACCCAGTTCCAAAGTCACTTCCACATTTCAGGTATCTTTTCAGCAATGACCCACTCTACTGGTACCAATTTACTGTATTAGTCCATTTTCACACTGCTGATATAGACATACCTGAGACTGAGCAATTTACAAAAGAAAGGTCTATTGGACATACAGTTCCACATGGCTGGAGAGGCCTCACAATCAAGGTGGAAGGTGAAAGGCATGTCTCACCTGGTGGCAGACAAGAGAACAGAGCTTGTGCAAGGAAGCTCCCCTTTTAAAAACCATCAGATCTCATGAAACTTATTCACTATCATGAGAATAATGCAGGAAAGACCTGCCCACATAATTCAATCACCTCCCACTGGGCTCCTCCCACAACACGTGGAAATTGTAGGAGTTACAATACAAGGTGAGATTTGGGTGGGGACACAGCCAAACCATATCAGCTAGATAAATACATTAAGGGTGCATGAGTAACACAACAAGTCGAAAATTAATCATTCTATACATGCTGTTCTTTAACCTGGTTTTTCTTTTCAATACATGTCAAAGACATCATTTAATAACTGTATATGTGCATCATCACTTTTAATTGTTACACAGTGTTTCACTGGGTGTATATGGCATATATGCAATGATTTATGTAATAAGTTTTGTTTTGCTATTGTAAACAATGCTGTACAACTATGCCCAGGGACTTTGGCATACCTACGTACCGTCCTTGGGAAATGACAATAGAAATTTGATTTGTAGGCCAAGTGACATTTTGTGACATTTGTAGGCCAAGTGACATTTTAACATTTTGATGCATATTTCCAAACCACTCTTCAGAAAGATGCTACCTGTATCTGCTGCCTCCAATAGTGCAAGAGCATGCATGTTTCTCTGAAATCTCAGTTCCACTGGGCTCTGACGATGTTTTGAATTTTTGCAAATTGAATGAGCAAAACAGTCCATTTTTAAAATGACTTCTAGTGAGGGCATCTTTTTCCAAGTGTTTTGGTACATTTCTAGTTTCCTTTTGTGTTCAGGTGTTCGTTACTCAGTTATCAATTTGCAAAAATTATTAGGGCTATGATTATTTGTAATACATATTCATAATATTATTATATTAGTTGTTTTTCAGTTGAGTTTGTTTATGGGGTATTTTCTATCAGAAAAAATAAAGTATTTATACATTTTAAATATCAATGTTGTTTTTACTTTATGCTTTCAGACTTCTGTTATTTTCTGAAAGAAAATCTTTCATCACTTGTGATTTAATTTTGTCATAATGAGTGTGATAAGTTTCTAGCCTTAAAAAATGAAATGTGAACAGTTGCACCAATATCATTTAATAAATAATCTATTTTTTTCATCAGTTGAAATAGTATGTTTATTCTCAGCCTCTTTATCTACATTGATAGATTAGTGGAATCATGGCTAGAAATTAGCCAATCAGTTCATGTGAGAATCACACTATGTAAAGTACTAGATATATTTTAAATACCACATATGTTTTATATAGCTAAAGATTATATTTTTTATATACCCAGGTTCCCACTCAGTAAACATTACTCTTCTTTTTCGAAACAGCCTGGTTATTTTCATATTTTTTTTTCAGGCAACGTTGAGAATTGCTTCATCAAATTAAAAGAAATGTCAATGGGGATTTGGATTTGGATTATGCTGACGTTCTGCAGTAGAATTTAGTTGTCATTATCAGAGAGGCATTGTGTAATTTTGTTTCAAAATATTCCCAGATTCTCAAGGTTATTTTTAATTGAATTCTAAATGGGAAATTTTCTTCCATATATATAGGAAAGATGTTGACTTTTTAATCTTAATTTTCTAACTCCTCATCTTCCTGGAATCTCTTACTTTTTCTGGCAGTTTGGGAGTTAATTTCTTATTTTCCAGCTGTACAATCATATAATCTACTACCACAGAAAAAAGAATCCCACGTCATTCTTCATCTATACTTAATTTCACCTTGTATCTCTGTTCCTGGCTTTAACGGGATGCTGCTAGAGCTAACCATCGTGCTTATGCTGGCTTTCCACTCAGCTTGCAGTTTTATCACATGCTATCATTGATTTCTTCTTTTATAATTTCAAAAAGTAATATATATATTTTTTAAAACATAGGCTAGACACAGAATTTTATCAAATGCAATGTTAGCACTTACTAGAAGAAGCATGAGGCTTTTAAGGTTAATTTTATTAGTTGAATCTATAATGGCAAAAAACCTTCTCTTTCTTGGAATAACTCAGTGACCATCCATTTACTGCCAACTTATTTTAAAAATATTTAATTAGGAATTTTAACTTCAATGTTCACATATAAAACTGTCTATAGTTTTCTTTTGGATGCTGGTTTCTTTTTTTTTTTTTTTTTTTTTTTTTTTTGAGACGGAGTCTCGCTCTGTCGCCCAGGCTGGAGTGCAGTGGCAGGATCTTGGCTCACTACAAGCTCCGCCTCCCGGGTTCACGCCATTCTCCTGCCTCAGCTTCCCGAGTAGCTGGGACTACAGGCGCCCGCCACCACGCCCAGGTAATTTTTTGTATTTTTAGTAGAGACGGGGTTTCACCATGTTAGCCAGGATGGCCTTCATCTCCTGACCTCATGATCCGCCTGCCTCGGCCTCCCAAAGTGCTGGGATTACAGGCATGAGCCACCATGCCCCGCCGGATGCTAGTTTCTAAAGGTGTGGGATTTGATTTTCTGTTGAATTTATAAAAATTAAATGAGATATCTTCTCTCTGAAAAATATATACAGGAGATATTTCTTATTTAAAGACTTGAAAAAATTCACCTATGAAACCATCTGTGTTTGGCACATTTTTCTGGAATGTTGGCTCCTTGACAATGTTTTAAATTTTTTTGATGCAATTTGGCTTGAGTTGTCTATTTCTTCTTAAGTCAATTTTGATAATTATATTTTCTTAATGTTTTTATATTTCATCCAGATTTTAGTTTAGAATTGTACAGAGATTTTTTTCTTAATTAGTGGTTCTTTCTGTTCCTTTATCATTTATTGTATCTTGTTTTGTTCGTTGTTTCTCCTAAAGAACCAGATTGTGTATGTGTGTACCCATTTTGCTATCTTTATACCTTTTAACTAATTGGTTTCTCTTTCTATTATTATAAATAACTTATTTTCTGATAAGGTGCCCTGAGTACAGCTGTCAGTATATTTTATACCTTATATATTTATCTTTCTCATTATAATTATCTTCTACACAATCCATTTTACAGTTGTATTCCTTTTTCTACCCTGTTTGTTTTTTAATTTTGTTTTGCTTTTTCTTAGGAGAGCATTTTAACCTGCTCAAAGAGTTGAGGACATCTTAATTATTTCTTCTTCTGGTATGCATTCACAGATGTATCACACTGTGGTCTGAACAAAACATCTGGTTCAGGCAACAAGAAAGCCTATATTTCCTCCTCTTCTAGAAACAGCATTCTGATTTTCTCCAGGACCAAGGGGCAATCAATGTGCCTGCCCAGGAGTCACTAGCCAAGGAAGGGGACCCATTCAAGTCAGATAAGCTGATGCTCTGGGCCAGAACTTGGAATTGGGAGTGCTGCAGGTCAAGGAAGGAAAGAGGTGGGAATTGCTTTCGCCCATGAGGGCAGAGCCCTGGAGAGCCCACCTGTAGGCCCCCTCAGCACCCAGCCCTGACTAGAGCACCTGGGCTTTCTAGCCTCTCCCCAGCCCAAGGCATCTTCTCATACTGTTTCCTCTTTCTCACTCCTCCGTCGTGCCACCTTCACACCAACTGGGCAGCTGTACCCAACGCTCCTCCCAAATTACTTAGTTGTTGTTCTGCTCTGGTGTGTCTTTATAACTTTACCTGTACTTTCTGTAAATTTCCAAAATACGTGAGTCAAATTATTGGAGTGGAGGAGGTGGAGGAATGAGACTACACCTATTTTCCTCTTAAATTTGTAGACATTTCTCATCCTTTTCTAAAATTTAAATTTGGTAAGAACATTGTAGTTAGATGATGTTGATGATTATTATTATTTTTACATTAGTAAGTTACCTGCTTCCTTTGTCTGGTAGCTTGTGGGATTCTTTCTGTAATCTTCCAAAGCTTCACCAGAATATGTCTTGGTATTGGAAAACTTTATCACATTATTCTGGAATATGATGAATTCCTTTAACATACAAAAGTTCATGTACCTTTATTTCAAAAGACATTATTTTTTCTAATATATCTAAATAGTTTTTGTTTTATCACTGGATTTGTTTGTTGATTGTCAATCACCAGAAGTTTCTGTATTTAAATCTCTATTGTTGATATTCTTCTAATTATCATTTCTCATTTCTTTGCATCTTGTGTGGTTTTGTCAAGAGAACCCCATCCACCAATGCAGTTTTCTGTTGGTTTCACTATTAGTCATTTCCGGTTCATTTTTAAATTCCATGCCATTGTGGATTTCTCCACAGTTACTTAACTCAATTATGTCAGGCTTTTTTAAACTATTATTTTGTTGTCATCTAATTTCTTTAAGAATCTGTTGTAGATGAATGGTTTTCCTGTTCCCTGGGAAGTGTTTCCTCATCTATCACTTGCAGAGTATTTTCATTTGTTTGTTTGTTTGTTTGTTTGTTTGTTTTAATGTGGAATTTTTAAACCTATCCCTTCTGAATGCTTTTATTTTATTTTTAAGAGGCAGGGTCTTGCCCTGTCACCCAGGCTGGAGTACAGTGTTGTCATCATAGCTCACTGCTGCCTCAATCTCCTGGGCTCAAGCAATCCTCCCGCCTCAGCCTCCTGAGTAGCCATGCCACTATGCCTGGCTAATTTAATTTTTTTTGTTTTTATTGTAGACATGGGATCTTGCTATGTTGCTCAGGCTGATCTTGAACTTCTGCTCTCAAGTGATCCTCTTGCCTCAGCCTCCTAAAGTGCTAGGTTTACAGGAGTGAGCCACCACGCCCAGCCCTAATTTTTTGTTTTGTTTTGTTTACTCACTTTTCATGGGGGTGGGGGGGGGGTCTACCTGCTTCTGCTATTTGCCTGAACTTAGTGTAAGTAAAACCCTCGTGAATCCTTCTGCAGCTTCTCATGAAGCCCCATTGAGGTCTTCCCCTGAGCTCTTGATTTGGAGGACTGAGTATTGATGCTGCGTGTTTTCTGTCCAGCTGTGTAATTACCTGAGGGGCTCTAGGCCAGGAGACAGCTGGGGCCTGAGAGGCTTTGTTTCTGTGTTTTTCCTCAGAATTAACTGAGATTCTGCTCCATAGGTCGGCTCCCAGGTGAGGGATTGGCCTTTCCCATGGAAAATCAACCCCCACGTTTGAATGTGTTGCCCTGCTTTTGAGTTGTGAAGCTGGTGGATGACAAAAGAAATTAGTAATGCCCCAAAACCTACGGGCATTTGGTTTTGCGAGTCAGTGTGTATTCTTTCTCTGGTCACCTGTGATCTGAGACTGCAAAGAATTACAGCAAATCTTAGCTCTCTTCCTTTGGAAGCCAAGTCAAAGAAAAAAAATCTATGCTACATTTGCTATATTTGTTTTCTTTTTCTTCCACTGTCTCTGCTGACATCCTACACAGGGAAACTCAACAGCACAGGGTACCCCTTCCCATCCCGTGGTCTGTGCGTCTCTCCCTCCTAGTTAGGGGGTCCATGGGGGTCTTCAGAACCTCCTGCATTGAACCCCTGCCCGACCTCAACACTGCACCATGGTGTGTCCGGATTGCTCTCCACTCATCCAAACTGTATGCTTTCAAGTTTTCAGTTTGAGAGTGAGGAATTTTGCTTTATTCTTAGTTCCTTGCATTCATGTCTGATGACATTATTTTTGTGGGTTGAAGAGAAGAGCCAGAGGAGTTTGCAAACACGTAATTTAGCTGACATATTTCCCAGAAGTTCTTGTCATAATCGTTTAAATTAACTCAGTGTAAGCAGATTCGACTCCATAATATACAATTTGAATATATGCATGACCATAGTAATCACTTGTCTCCAGGGGTCCTTTAATAAAAATATATGACACCTTCTCTAAAGTCATTTTGGAAAGAATTGGAGAAAAAATTCATTTGGCTGAAAATCTAAACACTTAAATAGGTAAAAGCAGAGGTTGCTGGTTTTTAAATCATGCAGTCACAGGCACTATCCTCATGTTTATCAAATAATGTCTAACAATTATATTCAGATAATTGGACTTGCTTCCGGCACTTGGGTAGAAGATTTGAAACATGTCCTTGTGAGGATAATTGGAATTTTTCTTAATACAAGATTTAGCCTTAATTATCTACATATATTTATATGGCCCTTAGTACTGCTAACAACAGAGGATCTTATCACTTCCTACCCGTGCAGAAAGATGCAGAACAAAGGCTAGAAGATTAGCACATGAATTTTTACTCTGTTCACTTCAAGGCAGAGTTACCAATTTGACAGGCAATAGAGTAGCTTATGTTTTGTGAGATCCTTTCTAATTATTATTTTGATGTATACCTGCGCTTCAAAAATCTAATGTAAGTACCTAACTGTACAAGGTATCAAAAAGACATATTTGCCTGACTTTTGGTAAATTGTTAAACACTTTCCCAAAGGACCCGATCACTCTTCTAAATCATTTCTCCTAAAGCTCCCTTCAAGTGCCCCTCCCCGCCATGTATGACAAATTCAATAAAATGAGCAAGTTAATGCCTTTTTTCTATCTGTAAATGTTGAGATTGAAATAGACAGACTTAAATAGCAGCGTTAATTTGGTGTGCTCTGGGAGATTAATGTAAGCGAGGCCTACTTTTCAAGGACCACAGCAATTAGGTTAAAGAGTGTTATGAGTGGAATCACCCAGGTGAGAAAGACATTCAAGGAAAGTGGCTGGCTATTATTTCCTTAGAAAAAAGAAACTAAGGCCAGGCACAGTGGGTCACGCCTGTAATCCCAGCACTTTGGGAGGCTGAGGTGGGTGGATCACCTGAGGTCAGGAGTTCAAGACCAGCCTGACCAACATGGAGAAACCCCGTCTTTATTTCAAAGAACTACAAAAAATTAGCTGGACGTGCAGGAGGCAGAGGTTGCAGTGAGCCAAGATCCCGCCATTGTACTCCAGCCTGGGCGACAAGAACAAACTCTGTCTCAAAAAAAAAAAAATAAATAAATAAAAAAGAAACTAAGAGATACTGTTCATCCTGTTGTGGAATTCAGAGGGCAAATTGGTCTACGGCCCTGCATCTCAGTTTCCCAAATGTGGAGGAGGTAATATTTCCCTCCTAGTAAACATACAACTATACCTTGTATGAACCAGGGAAAAGATGTTTAAGGTCTTGGATTAAAGCAAAACCAGGAATTTAATTAAATGGTGTTTTAAAGCTGGTTTTATAGATATATCAGATGAAACCAGAAGTTATGTTTAAGAAATTCTGTTTAGGCTGGGTGCAGTGGCTCACGCTTGTAATCCCAGTACTTTGGGAGGCTGAGGTGGGTGGATCACCTGAGGTCAGGAGTTCGAGACCAGCCTGACCAATATGGTGAAACCACGTCTCTACTAAAAATACAAACATTAGCCTTGCATGGTGGCGTGTGCCTGGAATCCCAGCTACTCGGGAGGCTGAGACAGGAGAACTGATTGAACCCAGGAGGTGGAGTTCGCAGTAAGCCGAGATGGCACCACTGCACTCCAGCCTGGGTGACAGAGCGAGACTCCTCTGTCTCAAAAAAAAAAAAAAAAAAAAAGAAAGATATTCTATTCAGAAATTATTATATTACACTAAGGGTTTACGTGTTCAGGTCTGTGCTAGGCAAGATACAAGCAATATAATGAACTGAAACCCAAGTAATATAATGAATGAAACTTCATATAAATATTTATTCTTTCTCGTGTGAGCCCTCGTTTGGGTTTTGGAATCTGTGGATTTTGCATGCACAGAGGATCAGGATGAACACAGAGAGGTCAGGCTACTTTCTGCTCGTGTCTGTATGACTTAGCTTCTCTCTTTTCTAGTTTCCTGAGTGGATGCAACAGAGGAAAACCAAGATTTCAAAAACAAAACTGTAAACATATCTCCTCTGAAGAGTATTCTTGGCATAACCTAGTTTCCCTGATGTTAACAAGGTGCTTCATAGTTTGCAAAGCTTTTTAATGTAGGTATGTTGTTGTCCCATATCTGTGTACGGATATAATGTCCTATGAACATAATCTGAGCTGGACAGGGTTGGCGTTCTGACTCCACCACACAGATGGGGGAACTGAAGCCAAAACCTCAGTCTGAGAAAATGGGCAGCTGGAAGGAGGGACTGCAGAGGTCCCCTGACTGCAAGTTCCTGCCTTATTCCATCAAACTTCATGGTCTTGCCTGGTTTAAACACCCACATCTATAAAAGCTTTCCGGCGGGCTTCTCAGGTCTAAGAGGAGAAAATGTAATCTATACCCTCTCTCTTTTGATCTCATCTAATACTCTCCTTTAAATACCAAGGTATTAGCAGATAAACCATGTGGAAATGGGTAAGTAGATGAATTGCTTCTTGCACTGCATTACATGAAGGATTGCAATGGATTAAAATTTCATCATTTATCTTCCCCAGCCCCCAAACCCCAGAGTTATTTTTACCATTTTATTTAAGCCAAGCGGATATGCTTACATGACTTATACTCTTTGGCTATGAAATCCATTTGCTTTGTCCATTATACTTTCAGAATGATTGATGCAGTACAAATACATAATAAAAACTAATAATTACACAGAAAAAAAAAAATCTCCTGCCCAGTTAAAGCTAAACTTAAAGTGAAATGCAATGAACACATTTTAATCGTTTTTCTTAGAATTGTGTTTTATTAACATGTTAGAATCCCCAGGGCTTTTCCAGGACAGAAGAATGACTGGGTTGGCTGAGTGAGTTACACGCCCAACCTTGAACGAGGCCATCTGTGTTCATGCTGAGCACCACGTTCACTTCTCTCCCATGGGTTTTTATTGAATAAATAATGCCTTAGGGATACTGTCCTTGCCAGAGTCCTTTAGGCAAAATGACTTCTCCGACATTTCAGGAGGAAGTGTGGACACTGTTTCCTCTGATACCTCTGGGATAAAGATAGCGTAAAGAAATCAACAGGTATCACACTGTTGGATATGTGTGCATAAATCTAGATATTTAGCAGTCATTCTCAGATTTGAAAGTGGAGTGAGGATGGATGTCATCTCTCTTACAGTGCTTCCATTTAACATTTCCCAAAAATTAATGAGTCATGCAAACAGAAAATTTTTTTTCTAAGGCAGAATGAAAGTGGAAGATAGCAGATGTTTACATGCTGGCATTCTGATTTATTGTCAATGAGGAAATAATTCTGGGTAAACTCACTATTTGCAGACAATATTGCATACAGAAAGGAATCAACCAAATGTGGACTTAAAATAGGTACCCAGAACAACTGTAAGTACCTAGTTATGTAGACATGGGGCTCCAGCCCCATGACAGCTGGAAGCCATACAGCAGCAGGAAGTATATAGAATAATTGAAATTTAACCTCACTATTTGGTATGGTTTGGATTCTTGTCCCCTCCAAATTTCATGTTGGAACTTGTTCCCCAGTGTTGAAGGTGGGACCCAGTGTGAGGTGTTTGGGTCATGGTGAAGGATCTCTTATGAATGGCTTGGTCCCCTCCCCATGGTTACAGGTTCATGAGAGAGCTGGTTGTTTAAAGAGCCTGGCACCTCTCCTTCTCTTGCCATGCGATGCAGTGGCTCTCCCTTCGCCCTCTGCCATGATTGTAAACTTCCTAAGGCCTCATAGAAGCTGACCAGATGGTGATGCCGTGGCTGTATAGCCTGCGGAGCTGTGAGCAAATGAACCTCTTTTCTTTATAAATTACCCAATCTCGGGTATGCCTTTAGAGCAATGCAAAACTGACTCACACACCATTATTCTCCCCCAATATCCTTTTTGTTTTTCCTCTTGATTTAGACCTAAAGGTTTTCTGGCCCCTAAAATTGTCTGACTAGTAGTTTCCAGATTGGAAGAAAGCATTTCAAGCTAATTTTCTATGAAAAGTAACTCTGGAATCTCTACCTCCTTTCTGTTTCTAACACCCATTCTGTATACATGAGTGCTCTGGTTAGGTCCCTGTCATTCCATTTCTTTGGAGACTATCCTGAGTTTCTACAGGGAAATTTGAAATCTCCTATATGGATGTATTTCAGAGCCTACATCTGCCACCTGATGTAGGCCTGCTCTGCCAGGGAGGGACACAGTGAGTTTCATCAGGAACACACTTGCCTTGCTAGTAAGGGAATGTGCCGTAAGGGGGGCAGGTTAAAAGGTCTCTCTTGCTCTTTTACTGTTATGAGTTATTTCACTCCATGTTCACCTTAATTTAAGCTTTCCTTTTCCTAGGAAAATTACTATCAATTTCTACAGTTATTGAGAAACCACTCCCAAGAGTGGGGGGAAGGCTTTCTTCCTTCCTAAGTGCAATTTACTTTCAAGTACTTTACAGGTTGGTAGGCTTGACACTCAATCTGCAATTTGTCTTTTTCACAAATGTTAATTTCAAGTATTTGCAAAAGTTGTGTATTTTGGGAAGCACTCATACATTTTTAAAGCAGCCGGCAACAACAAAAGGTAATCACCTGTGTCTGTAAATATAGCTTCTGTTGCTGTCACTGATTCAGTAACAAAAAGAAGAAAAATAATTCCTTTTCATCCCTGCCGAAGACTTCCTAGTCTTGAGCATTTTTTAAGGAACAGTATAATGAGTTACAATTGCAGTCCTTGTGCCCAAACGTTAAGTCTCCGTGGCACCTGGAAATGAAGGCACTGCAGAAACAATCCTCCAAAACTAAGGAGAAATCAACTTCAAATTTTTCCCAAAAAAGAGCTCTGCTGTTGCTTTCCTTCCCTCTCTAGAGACGGACAGACAGAAGGGATTGAAGAGAGAAAACTGGTTAATTGGGAGAACCCACAGATCCCAGGTAGCATGTCCTTTGCTATAGTTAAAATATAAGAAGCAGAGCTATGAGCTGACTAAAGTGTTAGCCTCCAGCCTTGAATTTGCAAAGGCACTAAAAAGAGAAGTTACTATTTTACTGCCATTGATTCAGTGCCGTGATGAGATTCAGGGTTATTGCCAGATTTATTACATAGGGGTAAACTCAACTAGTAGCTAAATTTAGAGAGCTCTCTTGCACTAATTTAGCATTTATGAGCTGTCACAAGTGTACTCTGTTCATCTTTTAATGCATCACCCAGAAATATAACTTCTCATTAAAAAATTTATTAATCTCACTACATGGTAATATAGCCGAAACAGAATAAATATGAAGTATGCATAAAATGCTGGTGAGCTGTCGCCAATTAAACAGCAGAAGCATTAATATTGTTTTCCATGTTTTCTATGTCTGTAATTAGGTAGGTTTGGGGAGTCTGCTCTTAAGGCTTTCTGCCTTTTCTTCCCTTAGTAATCTGATGTTCTAGATTCACAAGTACTTAGACTTTGATAAAGTAAATATTCCTACAGATGAAGAGTCAGTTTACAGGCTGAGGGAGGAGGACACTTAAAGCGGACATCAAAGGAGGTGATGCCCTTGTTCCCTCGTCGAGACCTATATAAGTAACTGCCAAAAATAAATAAATTGAAACAAAGCAAGTGCTCAGTGGTAAGTCTACATAAATATCATGGAGCTGTTAAAATGAATATATTAATTAAATCTCTACCTGTGAACTGGAATTTTTTTTTTTTTTTTGACAGAGTCTCACTGCTATCACTGAGGCTGAACTGCAGTGGCTCAGTCTCAGCTCACTGCAACCTCGACTTCCCAGGCTCAGGTGACTCTCCCACCTCAGCCTCCCAAGTAGCTGTGACTACAGGTGCATGCCACCACACCTAGCTAATTTTTTTGTATTTTTTGTAGAGATGGGGGATTCACCATGTTGTCCAGGCTGATCCCAAAAATCTGGGCTCAAGCAATCCTCCCGCCTCGGCCTCCCAAAGTGCTGAGGTTACAGGTCTAAGCTACTGCACCCAGCGAACTTGAAGAATTTTAAAGAAATTTTTATTTAGCAAGAAAAGCGAGATGGATATAATACACTGCAGTCTAGTAAAACATTGGTCCTCACCCCGACCTGCCTTCGTACGTTTGGATGTCAGCATGGGTGTGTGCAGCAGCAGTCAAGGACAAATGTTCCAGGTTTGGGCACTGGGGTGGCCAAAAGCTGGATGAAGGGAGGAAGGAACAAAGATAAACAACACAGAAAGAATAAAGGCACTAAAACAGGAAAACTCCCATGATGCAGTGCCACTTGTGAAAAATTGCGCATGTGTGCACATACACATGGAGATGTGTGCAGACATATTTGCCAAAATAGCCACAGTAGTTATCTTAAGGTGGTATGTATTTAGGCACTATTTCTTTCTTTTTGTATTTTTCTGTATTTTTTTAAAATCAGCATGCATTATATATTAAAACAAACATTTATTTCACTGTGATAAAAATAACATAATAAATATTCTCTTCTAGCAAAATTCTGTTGCCTGGGCATCTTTATAAGTGTAATACATAATCAAATATGTAAAAATAGAAGATCATTCAATAGCCAAAAATATCCACATATTTAGTCCAAATATGCAGACGTTTCCAAATTTTTATTATAGCACAGGGAGTTCTCATGAAAAGCACCTAAAGCATAAATTTAATATCTGGTTATTCTGGTCATTTGAAGAAAGTCAGTCATTATAACAAAAGCAAAGATAGATAAGATGGTACAGGTTTGGGCATGGGCATGGTATTCAGGAAAATAAACAGTCAAATGCACACATGCACACACGCCTGCATACAAACATGTATGAAAACACTGATTCAAAAGTGAGAACCATAGAACTGTACACCCTCACTTCTCAGGTGTGTTTCTTAACTTTCATGGGCCAAAACTTCCTTATCTGTAAATTTGCAGGTGGGAACGAAATCAATGACTTTCATACCAAGCTGTTTCATGGAAGTGCTTAAGGAATTTTACAAACCTTTCCATTTCAACAAAGTTTGACTAGTTTCAGAAATGAAAATAATAAAAAAATATACACAGGACAGTGTTGTTTGTTACAATTTAGCAAACTAGAGGCCACTAACACATAAACTTGCACTGGCCAATTAACTCATTTTTTATAGGATTCAGGAATTGTTTTTCCAAATGTTTCCCTGTGATATATTCAAAATCCTCGTGAATGTATCATTGTTAGAAAGCCTGTAGCCCTGCACAAGTCCTTTTTTTCTCTTCGTTATTATACCTATGTAAAAAATGCACAAAAGTGCACTATCTACCCCCACGGGTGCCAGGCCCTGCTGGATGCTGGGCTCAGGTCACACCATGGCACAATGGCAACTTTTCATAACAGCAGATACAGCACATAGGCCCTGTTCAGAATTTCAGAACTTAGAATCAAGAAGGAAACTTCAAATATGAGTTTTAGTCAACACATACATTGAATTTAAATCACATACATTGAGTTGATTAAATTATTACCATACTAGGAATTTAAGCTCGAGTGTTGGTAATGGAACTAAAACTTAGGTTGCATAACAAATCAAATAAAGGTGAATGGTTTACATTTTCAACAGACATTGACTAAGGTATCTGCGATTTAAAAAATAAGATTACTAAACATCTCGAAACGTTGGGAAATACTTTGAAGGCTATTTTCTGCCAAGTAATATGAATGTATTAACTGGTTAAAGAAAATGGTTACTGACTTTCTCCAATCTGAACATTTTCCAGATGAGAAACGCAAAGGTTTTGGATACCATACTCCCCTGCTCTAAGATACACTTTTCATTTTCACATCTGAAGATCCCCGTCACCAGGATTCATCTCACAACTGATGGCGCCCTCCCTCAGCTGTCAGCGCGAACTTTCACGGTATGCAGAGATACCCATGGGTGTCTATGGTCTTTCTCTCTTCCCTGGACATATAGAGCAAATCAGCATAACCACCTCTCTGATGTCAGGGGTTGCTCAGAGACCCACTTCTTCCAGTAGGATATGTGGACAGGCAGTATCCCCAGCTTCAGACAGGAGCTTAGATTTGCGCTTCTACAGCCCAGGTTTCATCTGCTCCGTGGCCGGCACTGTGCAGGCAGAGGTGAGCCAGTGAGCCTCTGGGTGGCTTTGAAAATGATGTCACATATCACCCAATCCTAGAATTCAGCCTCTACGAAGCTTCTGCATTTAACCCGTTGGACAATTAGTCAGTTTCAGAACTACTTCTACTGCTTCATTAACGGTAATAATAAGATGAATACGACTGTCTGGGAAGGAGGGGGAAGTGGAAAGAAGAGAGACAGAGATTGAAATAGCCTCAGCTTTGTAGAGGGAAAGTAAACACTGATGGCATGTCATGCTATTTTCCTAGCTGGGGAAAAAAAAAAAAGCAGTTTTAGATTCAACAAATATATTTTTTAAGTCTCTACAATGTGCCAGGCCCTGGGTTGGGTTATAGGAATATAACAGTGAGATATAGACGCCATCGGTTTCCTCACAGAGCACAGAGCTCATGAGGAAAGATGGGTGGTTAGGAGTCACATGTGTGCTGTGACAAGCACTGTGCTGGAGGAACAAGAGCAGGAGCCTTGCCTGCAGGGAGCAGGTGCGAGGGGCACGTCCCAGGAGAGCCACTATCACCCAGAGACCCGCAGGAAGAATGCTTGGTACTAAAGAGAAATAGAAAGGTGATTTCTATCAAAGGGAAGTAGACATACAATTGCCCAGTTAAAAAAAAAAAAAAAAAAAAGTATGATCCTTTTTGGAAGTGGGTTGCCGGAGCCCAGAGTGTAGGGAAGACATGGCTGAGTGTTAAGTGGCTCAGCTGTAAAGAGAGAAATCTGGTTTAGCTGCAAATGACTCCGGTGCATTGACACTAGACTCTTTAAAACTCTCCCAGAGTTTCAGATTTCAAAGAAAAAAGTTTGTGAAGCAAATTTTAAAAGGAGAAAAATGTATCTCTCTAGGGAATTGCTCAAAGATGAATAAAGAAGTGAGTTCTAAAGTTCCTTATAATCTACAAAGAACGAAAGCAGACCATTTCCAAAGCTTAAGTTGATGATAGACTTTTTTAGTAACTCTCAAAGGTATGCCACACTGAAACAACACAGTTCTGCCCAACTTAATCCTAATTATCTTAAATTTCAGAAACTGTTGGATGCAATAATTCTAGGAAGTTTTTTCAAATAAGATATAGTAACGGTGTAGTGGAACTAGATGTTCGAAAGCTGATTAAGACAATTGGCAACTGCTGCTTATTCCGAATTACCCCTTACATAGTTGAGTTCACCATATCTTAAAAGTGCATACCTTTTGCATATTAATGTATGACTGTCCCAGATCCTAATTAGCATCACTTAAAAAGTAAAAAGTGTGACTATCAAAATTGCCTTATAATTGTGAGCTACCAGAAAGTGTGAACTTACTCTGCATAATTTCTTCTACAGATTTTGACATGACATTAAATATTTAATGATTACTTTTCCAGAATGATAATACAATTAGGTGATAAAATCATAACAAATCTAAACCACAGCCACTCAAAATGAGCTGCTTTCAGCAAATAATAACACGTGTGAAAGGAGTCAGCAAATTTTGAGAAGCTGGATAATTACATCATTAGCAACCAATATTGATGACTGGCAATTTCAAACTTTAGCCAGCAGAAGTATATTTGCAGGTCGTCAACAAGGTAGAAATCAGCTTAACAAATATTCAACAGAACCACAAACTGCTTTATCGAATTTTTCTTTCTTTTTTTTTTCTGAGACAGAGTCTCGCTGTGTTGTCCAGGCTGGAGTGCAGTGGCACAATCTCAGCTCACTGCAACCTCTGCCTCCCAGGTTCAAGCCATTCTCGTGCCTCAGCCACGAAGCTATAGCTGGGATTACAGGCGTGTGCCACCATGCCCAGCTAATTTTTGTATTTTTGGTAGAGACGGGGTTTCGCCATGTTGGCCAGGCTGGTCTTGAACTCCTGACCTCAAGGGATCCACCCTCCTCAGCCTCCCAAAGTGCTGGGATTACAGGCCTGAGCCACTGCACCCGACCAAGTTTTTCATATAATATATTTTAAAAGAGATTATATCTTATGGTAATGAAATCAGATAGATCCATAGGCCTCAAATCCAAAATCCCATCAGAATCCCCAAGGAACTCATTTCAAATGTAAAATCTAGGACTTCAGCTGAAGATGGTCTTACTTCTCTCATCAATTCATATGTCTTCCTGACAGAATACACACAGATTAAAACAGACACTCACATGCACACGCAAGGAAAACAGTCAAACAGTGCAAATAGGTATGTATTCCAGTAGTGGACCAGGAATGTGAGTAATGCCTCCTCATTATAAAATGGACAGGCTCACACTGAGAAAGTAACAGAGGAAACAGAAGTCTTCTTATGGGTCTTCCCATGGGAATCCCAGAGAAACTGTTAGTTCAGAGTCAACAAACATAAGAGCAGAGATGGACTGCCATGAAGAGACCTGATTGCCCCATGTGTTCCTCCCTTTCTGTTTTAATTGAATAGTGTCAGTAGCTTCTGACACCAGTCCCAAAAATTACACTGTAAAGAAAATTGTCTTCTGTCTGAGGAGGGCTTATAGGACCTGAGAGAAATGAAGGGCAGAGTCTGAGGCAAAAACATGCGCCAATTCCAAGGTGAAGCTTTCCTTGCCCTGGTGAGTTTGGAATTCCATCCAGAGGAACACAGCATGCAGGCCAATATTTGAGCTCTTGCCACCACTATAAAGAAGGACCACAATCCAAACACCAAACACCACCTTAGGTAGAATTCATGGAAGAGACACATCAAGAATTTAAAATAGGAGAATCCTTATCCTCAGAGGCAGACAAGAAGATAGCAGTAATAAAAAGCAGAAGTCAAAGACCATTTGGGAAAATAATTGCTATTAAAACATGTAATAATTTACAGAATGCTTTGATGGGGAAAGTAACAGATAGCACCAGGATGAAATAGAGAGCTGAAAAATTGGTGGAGAAACTGTCCCAGGATTCAGGAGGACAGAATCTAGTAGATATCAGAGAACAAAGCTCAAATACGTGGCATATAGAAATAGACTTGCTGCACCGAGTTAATAGAAACTTGAAACATAGAGAAAAAAATCAAGGAAGGAATAATAGTAATAGCTTTTCCCAGAACTAAAAATGAAATTTCAGATCTTGAGATTTCTTGAATTTTAAGCAGGATAAGGAAGGTTCACACCAAGATATCAGAGTGAAACTTAAGAATAAGGATTTTAAAGATCTGAAGTCATTCAGAGAAAAATTAGATGGATGGATAGATAGATACATAGATAGGATAGAGATAGATGATAGATAGATAGATAGATAGATAGATAGATAGATAGATAGATAGATGGATAGATATAGATAGATAGATATAGATGATAGGTAGATATAGATTATAGACAGATAGATAGATAGATAGATAGATAGATAGATAGATGATAGATAGAGATGATAGATAGATATAAAGACAGACAGCAGATACACAGATAGATATATATACATATACAGACAGCCCCTGATTTATCATGGTTCAGCTTAAGATTTTTCAACTTTTCATGGTGCAAAAGCCACAGGCATTAATTAAAAACTGTACTTCAAATTTTGAGTTTAATCTTTTCCCAAGCTAGCCACATGCCGTACAAAACTCTCTCTAGATGCTGGGTGACAGCAGCAGGCCCCAGCTCCCAGGCAGCCACAGGATCATGAGGGTAAACAACTGCTACTCTACAGTTTACTGTGTTGCCAGATAATTTTGCCCACCAGTAGGCTAATGTAGGTGTTCCGAGCATGTTTAAGGCAAATTAGGCTAAGCTATGATGTTCGGTAGGTAAGGCACATTAAATGCACTTTTGACTTACAATATTTTCCACTTAGAATATTTTCAACTCAATATGAGCTTATAGGGAGATAAGTCCACCTTAAGTTGACAAGCATCTCTACTTAGGAAACAACAGAAAACTGCTTGATATGAGTCTGCCAGCAGCTACACTACATGCAAGAATGTAATACAGTGGTATTATCAAAAAATTACAGGAGAAAAAAAATTACCCCACCAAACTCTGAAGCTCTGTTTTGAGTAACAGTAAGGAAACCTCTTCCCAATCAGTCATAGCGCTGCTGTCCTCACCCCCACATTCAATCCCTTGTCAAATCTCTTGATTCGTCTCCAGGAAGTCTCTCGAATATAATACCCCCTGTTGTATTTCCAGTGCTCAGACTCTATTTTATACCCAGATAACAACTCCTTCAAACAATCAGTTGCAAGGGTCTCCTAGTTGATTCCCTTGCACCCAGCCTCACGCCCTCTAAGTTGCTCTCAAAATTGTCTTTCTTTCAAACCATTCTTCTTATCCTCCAACATACTAACTACCCCCTCCCCCAACATGCACACACTCTAAGGGGCCTCCCTGGTGCAGCCAGCAGTACTTTATTTCTCCCTTTCTTATTCTCTCTGTAGGCTTTCTGATTCTGGGTTAGCGTGGAGTGTAATTGACCTTGTATTATAATTATTTGTTTAAATATATGACTCCCAACTAGATTGAGAGCCTCGAATGAGCACTAAGCCTAATTCACTTCTGGATTCACTAAAGCGAATGAATTCTCTCCGTATTTTAGCTTAGTCGGTGCTCGGTGTGTGTATGTAAATGTTTCTAAATGGCAACATATCTAAGAAAGACACCAGGAATTTTCCCATTCAGTGTATCTATCTCCATTAAGTCCTGTGCAAAGATAAGAACGTTTCTGTAATAAACACACCCCAGTGCAGTCGAAAAAGAAAGATCTGCTAGGGTGGTCACTCATTTACATGCAGGGGACATGAGAACATGGCAAAGGAGACGCTGTAAATCACCCCAGAGCTGGGAGACATGGCCTCTCGGAAGCCTGGCTCAGAATTATTAATTAAAGCTTCCTCAAGGATGGTTTGTTTGCACATCAGTTGAGCTAAGCCACACTGGTATCCCTGCAAATAATAAGACAGCCCGATTAGGCCTACCCATTAATTAAGTGTCTTTGCTGTGAATAAACAGTGAAATCTTTCAGTCTGAGAGAGCCTATGGCGCAGTGATAAATGTGCAGCTGTTGACACTCCTGTAACACAGTCTGACATCTCCATCAGTTCACGGGAGCTCCCTCCCCAGGGACACAAGGCGCGTGTCATGGGAAGATGACACTTCTGCCACACTTGGCCCCTAAAGTTATGTCATATGCAAGTTTACAAATAATCTGAGCTGGGAATAAACAAAAGGGAAAATTGTTCAAGCCCTTAACTGTGACCCTCAACTGTCACATTTAATTGTCTGAAACACTGGTGTTTTGGGTACACAAATTTGGATAACAATAATATAGGGCTTTTACTTTTATGAGAATGTACAAGTCTGTTATTTAAAAAAGTGATTTGGGGTCCAATTATAGACTCTTCCAAAACCGTAGGCTGTTTTCTAACTTAAAAAAACAGTTTCAGCAAACGCCTTCAAACTATTGAAGACAGGAGCTAGTATGTATTATGTTTACACCGTTCGAAAAGTAGTTCTCTCTGAGTCAAGCACTAAGTTCCCTTTTATTTTGCTGCCTGTAGAAAGGCTTTGTAAACTGCAAAATACACACAAAATAGAAAGAATTGATTTTTTATTGCAATTTTCCCATGAAGCTCTATTGCTAATGGTTACGTTACAGCATTGGTGAATTAAGTTAACCTTCTAGAACCTAGAACCAAGGTTCTCAAATTCCTCCAACATTCACCTCTATTCCAAAATTTTCCAGGAAGCTATTAGCAAGAACCAGCATGATGGGGGAGAAGCACCGCTGTATTCGTCACTACAAAACTCCAGAACAAATTCACTGAAAGCTTTTATTAGGGGATTTGACTTTCTCCCAAGGAAGATCGTTGCCTTCTGTTGCCTTCTGCTCTGTCCCTAGAGCCCAGATCTCACAGTTTCTAGTCCAGAGTCCAGACAGAGTTGGCAGAGAAAAGTGGTAAGTACAAAGACTACTCACCCTGGTGTTCAGGACAAAAGAGATGAACGGAAGAGAGGACAGCCAGCCATGCAGGCCTCAGGGGCTTGTTCCCCAAACAGGGCAAGGGCAGGAAGTCCAGGGGCAAGTGAACTGAACTTCTGGGACTCTTGCCAGCCTTGCCTTGGCACAGCCTGCATCTGAGATTCTGTCCAATCAGATGAGCCACCCGTCCTCAGAGAGCTAACTATCATGGGTAGGTAAAGCTGGCCTGATATGACCAACCTCGCATTAAAGTTTCTTGCATTCATCTTTTCTGTCCCCCACCAGACTCGAGTTCCTTGAAAACAAACCACACATCCCTTCATCTCTGCACCCCCTCCAGAGCCTTGCAGTCTTCACTGTCATCACATTCAAGCACATGCTGCATAAAGGAAGGAAGCGGGAATGGAATGGACAGGTAGCATGCTGTGAATATAAAGACACTCAGTGGATTCCTGGCCACTTGGACAGTGGAAGGGGATTTTCTCAGAGCCACCAAAACCAATATTCTAGGCTCACCTAACATAATGTAACTGAGAATTCTTGGTTCTAATTTGAGGCACCTGATACATAAAGGAAGGCGCATAGGATGGAGGCCCCAGAGACCGTATTTATTACTCAATGGGGCAGGAAATTGGGAGAAGGCTCTGGTGTCCAGGAGAAGAGTTCAGGCCAGTGGATTAAGCCCCATCATGAGCCAGGAACTGAGCTAGTCCTGGCTGAAAATGCAACCACAGCACACACTTCTGCTCTCAAGGGGCTTAGGGTTCGGCGGGGGAGAGACTTACATAATACACATGTGAGACAGTCACAAGTGCGAGAAGCCATGTCTGCTCATTTGTGCTTGTCAAGATAATTTCACACAGTCCCTGAATCTGTGAGGCCATGCAGCTCTTTGGGAAGATGCTTTGAAGACAAAACAGGATGGACCACATGGCTCCCACACCACTTGCCTGAGTCACTATGCTCCTTAAAAGATGAATGACCCTAGCCTTGACTTTTCCTACACAGAAGATAACGTTTGACAGGGTTAGTGACTATGCCTCTGTAATTCATTACTAAATGCATTTTAGTCATCTATAACCAGATATACTCTGGCACCCAGACTTTGACGTGATTTTGCACGTACTGAACCTTCACCACCCGTCCATAAACTGTGAGCTGAAACACCACATTGGAGCCTCTGATGGAACTGCTCCCGGGCTGTAGACCTCCATCTACAGTCTTCGGTAAGGCTTCTGAATAAAACTAACTTTAATTCTTTAAAAGTTTGATTTGTTATTCTTTAGTTAACACATAACAACCCAAAGATTCATTGCAAAACATAGGCTGGAAGGGTGAGGACTGGGGCCTTCGCTTTTTTTTTTAACTGAAATGATCTGAGGAGACAATTATGGTGTTAGTAGCTGAATGCTTAAGGATTCTGGGACATTAAGAAGAGGTGGTGGAATTCTAATTGGAGTGAGAAGCAATATAAATAACAGAATGTGAATGTCACATTAGGAGAAGACAGAAGGAGAAGGAAAAATAATAGCAGTCTCCTCTAGTACAGAGTAAAGGATCAGAAAGAGTGTAAAGAAGGGTAATCTGAGGTCAGACTGCAGACAGCCTCTGATGCCAGGTGAAGGGGCTTCGATGTATACATGAACAATGGAGTGATAGGATGGGAATCAGCCTCAGCGTGCAAAATGAAGCAGAGGGAGAAGGATGGGTGTCGGGAGATGGTTATGAAGCCATTGCAATAACCCAATGTGAGTCGACCGAAGCAAGAATAAAGTTCGTGCCATGGGGTTGAGAGGAAATGAGGAGGTAAGAGACCTAGAGAGCCTGGGCGTGATGGGTCACACCTGTAATCCCAACACTTTGGAAGGCCGAGGAGGGAAGATCATCTGAGGTTGGGGGTTCAAGACCAGCCTGACCAACATGGAGAAACCCCGTCTCTACTAAAAAATACAAAATTAGCTAGGCATGGTGGTGCATGCCTGTAATCCCAGCTACTCAGGAGTCTGAGGCAGGAGAATCGCTTGAACCTGGGAGGCAGCAGTTGCCGTGAGCCAAGATCGTGCCATTGCACTCCAGCCCGGGCAACAAGAGAGAAACTCCATCTAAAAAAAAAAAAAAGAGAGAGAGAGAGACCTTAAGAAGAAAGAACCTGTCACAGCTGGAAGAGTGAGGAGTGAAGCCTGAACAGAAGTCTCAGGCCTATGGGCAGGGCAGGCAGGCTCGGGGCAGGCAGGCGCCCTCACACTCTCACACAACTGAGGCATCAACCTGGGGGCTCATCCATGTGCTGGTTCCCAGGAACTTTCCCTGCACATACTCATTTGTTAGGCTTGGAATATACATTTTAACAAACATTCCAAAGACAAACAACCCATTACAAAGGGGTTGTGAAGACCAAGTTTTGAAGCCTCCAAGTAGCAGGCTTCAGAGAGAACAGCCCTTGGATCACTCTTCATTCTGGAATGTTTTGGAGAAATTTTGACTTAAATCGTGAGTCATAGGAAAATACACCATTGTATCTTCAAAAATCCCAAAGACTCTCTGGTTGACACACACAGAACCCCCAGGCAAGCACTTGGACTTCAGACTTTTCTGTCTCTTCCATCCCAAGCAAATGCCCCCATATCTGTCTTGAGCTGGGCCCTCCTTGGCTTGATTTCAAAGTGACAACCTGGAAGCTAACCTCTTCCAGCAAGCATTGATGTTGGTGTCCGTCATAAAGAACCCCACCTACTTTGTCATGTCTTTTTTCTCTTCACATTAAGTTGTCCTTATCTTAAAAGACAAAAAAAAAGTAGGAAAGGCTTTTAACTTCAAATTCCATAGACTTGCGTGAACCCAAAAGTATCTGAAACAGGTCTTGATCAATTTAGAAAGTTTGTTTTGCCAATGTTAAGGGTGCACCATGATACATTCTCAGGAGGTTCTGAGGACATGTGCCCAAGGTGGTCGGGTACAGCCTGCTTTTATACACTTTAAAGAGACATAACACACCAATCAATATACGTAGGATTTACATTGGTTCAATCTGGAAACGTGGGGTAACCTGATGCAGGGGCTTCCAGGTCATAGGTAGATTTTAAATGTTTCTGATTGGCAGTTGGTTGGAAGAGTTATTATCGGCAGAAAGGAATGTCTGGATTACAAACGGCTTGTGGGGACCAAGCTTTTGTCATGCAGGTGAAGTTTCCAAGGAGCAGCCTTCAGAGAGAACAGACTGTAAATGTTTCTTATCAGACTGAAGGTCTGTGTTGATGCTAATGCTGTAGGATATAATGAAGTCTGTCCAACCTCCTCTTCCACCATGGCCTCAACTAGATTTTCAGGTTAACCCTGGAATGCCTTTGGCCAAGACAAAGGGTCTATTCAGAAGGTTGGGGGACCTTAGAATTTTATTTTAGGTTTATACTTGCCACCAGAATTTGTTGGCTTTGGGAGTCACAATTTTGAAAGGATCTTTCTGCAGAAAATAACCCTGTTTCCTGAGCCACAGTGGCAGGAAGATGGAAGGGGTGTGGGCCCCATGGCATCCTTCCTATCCCACTGCGGACCCCGTGATCATGCCTCAGTTCTTCAGTGCAACTGTCTCAAAGCAAATAAAGTGGAGGGATAAGCTTGATTCTCAGGGGTGCCAGTTCAACTGAATTTTTACAGGAAGAAATGTGAAACAAACAAAAACAGCAAAAGAATACCTCCAGCCCCCTGACACAAGTGGACCTAAGGGTTTGTTGGGTAGAGGAGGACAACCTCTCAACCTCTCTCACCCCACCTCTCAAGGCCTCTCTCCAAACCTGACCTTTATCCAAAATTGCATCTCATCCTACTGAATATTAGCTGAAGCTTATGTTTGCTAAGGTTACATTAAGGGCATTCATATTCTTTTCAATAGCAAAAAGCCACATTATTCAAACCATAGTAAAAACAACAATACTGGCCAGGCACAGTGGCTAACGCCTGTAATCCCAGCACTTTGGGAGGCCAAGCCAGGCAGATCACAAGGTCAAGAGATCAAGACCAGCCTAGCCAACAAGGTAAAACGCCATCTCTACTAAAAACACAAAAATTAGCTGGGCATGGTAGCGCATGCCTGTAGTCCATGCCAGCTACGGCCAACATGGTAAAATGCCGTCTCTACTAAAAACACAAAAATTAGCTGGGTGTGGTGATGCATGCCTGTACTCCCAGCTACTCTGGAGGCTGAGGCAGGAGAATCGCTTGAACCCGGGAGGCAGAGGTTGCAGTGAGCCGAGATCATGCCACTGCACTCCAGCCTGGCAACAAAGCCAGACTCCCTCACAAAAAAAAAAAAAAAAAAAAAAACTAATGACATTAAATAAATAAATAAATAAAGCTTGTATTTATTTGTCATTTAATATTTTCCAAACCATTTGCTAAATACTTGTAATGCTTACCAAAACGAACAAAAAAGGGTGGAAAAGATGAGAAGGTGAGGCTGGTCGTTGTCTTAGTCCCTTCAGGCGACTGGAACAAAAATACCGTAAGCTGGGTAACTTAGAAAGAACAGAAATTCATTTCCCACGGTTTTGGAGCTGGGAAGTCCAAGATCAAAGCACTGGCATAGTCAGTGCCTGGTGAGGGCTGCTTCCTGGTCCACAGACGGTGTCTTGTCTCTGCGTCCTCACGAGGTGGAAGGGTACAACAAGCTCCTCCTTGGTGGGCTTCTTGTCTAAGGGCACTCATCCACACTCAAGACCACATCACCTCCCAAAGCCTCCACCTCTCAATATTTCACATTGGGGGTTACTACTTCAACATACGATTTTCGGGGGGACACAGCTCAGCAGTAGTTGATCCTTTACCTATGTGAGTAAACTGTAGCGCAGGGCAGCTAAATATGTTGCTTAGTTTCAAGAGCAGGATTTGAGCCAGGCTTATCAGACTACAAAGCCTGCCTGCTTACACCTTCCGTGGAAACAGGCATCAAGGGGACAAGCTGAGTAACTTCATTTAGATTTTAGGAGCAATAGAGGTGAACTAGAAAGATGCATGTTTAATGTGAGTATTGGACTTGACAAAAAGAGGTAATTCAAGAGTATCTGGAAGCTCCAGTCATACTTTATTTTTGTCATGACTCTTTATAATGACCCAACAGTTTAATGTAATTCTAGTGGAATTAGACTTGGAAAGTTTGAATTTATATGTTGGATCTCATTCTGCTTCAGTGACAATTGTCCTTGACTGGAGCCTGCTGGCCTGACCCCCTAGCCAATCAGGCACCCAGAGGGAGCATTGGCCAGGACCTGGTTCAGCTGATCTGGCCAACCAGGTAACACTCCCTTTGCTTAATTCTTCAGGAAGGCTGTACCATATGTATATTTTGCCATACAATCTTCTCATTGGTGGGCTCAAGAAGCACAAGACCAAAATTTCAGGAACCATTGCAGAGGCCTGAATGTCCACTGCAGAGCTCATCCAGTCTGAAAATCCTTCTACTTGCCTCATTTGCTTCTACCTGGCCTCAGCTGTCCTCTAGCCTTTTCATATTTTGCTCTTCTTGTGGTTAGATAACAGCTGCTCAGCAGTCTTCTATAATTACAAGATTCTGAAAAACAGTTTCCACTGTGGTAAGCCCATAAAAGAGGGTGAAATTCCTATTCCCTAAAGCAGAAAATCTCTGCTTCAGAGATGTGTGAAGTCTCCATCTGAAGTTGCAACCTCAGGTTTCAAGCACTAAGAGATGTCTGCAGAAAAATATCAGCAGGCACTCCTCTGCCCTTGTGAGTGCAGGTCCATTTCCTTCCAGGCACACGCCTGAGTGTGTGCACCTCCCACACACCACAGATCTGAAAGGGAAGCTGGACCCGGCAGGAGCATAGCATGAAAAGGCCACACACCTTGAGAGGAAAACAGGGACTGACCCAGAAAATGCTCCAATCTGTTTGCACTAATGGGTCCCTCCTTTACCATTTCCTCCTAATGTCCAGTAGCTCCAGACACTAAAAATACCCACCCTTCCTAAACACTGAGTATCCCAGATTTTATTCTTCATGCAGCATCTGGCAATGGAACCACCCGTCCATGGTATTCTACAATGTTTAATCTGCAGGTTTTTTTCATTTATAGGATGGGTCTTGGAAGGAATTGGATATCCCAGCAAAGTCAGTTTATGAACTTGTCTTCTTGAGAGAGACAATTTCTCCCAGGTAGAACCTATAGAGCCGATAGTAAGAGTGGTGCAGTACTTCTTTTACTATTTGGTTTGAGTTCACATTTCACATCTCAAAATGCAGGAAGAAAGGGTTTCCAATGTTATTTGACCCAATCCTTGCTTCAATTCTCCTGGCATTTATCTCTCCTGTGTATGAAAAGCTTCTTTTGAAGTCAGAACTCCAGGCATGGAGGAAGAAGAAATTCGTCAAGAGAATTGAACTCAGAAAGATTAAAATGTAGAGTTTTAATATAGCTGTAGCTGACACCTGTCAAAGAGATAAAAGGAATACTTTGGATTTTAAGAACAGTGCCAGGACTATGAAGCACTACTTTTAAAATACATAGTATTTTGATTGAAATTTGTAGAGAAAAAAATCAATATAATCAACCATTCTAGTAAATGGATACATTGAGAGAATGTACTTGGCTCTACAGTATTTATTTTGTAAATGAAAAAAAAAAGCCTTCACTGAATACATTTTTTATGTGTTTTCTAACAGGCAATATTTCTAAATGTACTTAACCTAGAGAATTTTCCTTTTCCAATTTTATCTGGAGCTATTCCCACATAAACAACTCTCTTAACTCTAAATGAAAGTTGATAAGTTATCCGTATATTACTAACATAGTTGCAATAGAATATCAGAGTCTCAAAGGTTTGAAAAAAAAAGAAATTTAGAAATGATCAGTTAATCTCTCTCCAAAAAAGAACAATTATATTAAAAATCCGCCCTTATGTGGAAAAGAAAGATGAAATCCTGAGAGAGTCATGTCAATACTTAACCCTTCTCATTAATATGTCCTCTCACACTCAACTCCCGAAACTACAGAATGCATTTGTAAGAGTTTTACTATCAAATCAAATTTCTTTATGAATATTCTAGAAAATGATTGCCAAAAATGGAGGTCAGTTTGTGTCTTCCAAATCTAAGGATTAGATGTAAAGGTATTTTCATGACTTGTTTGCCCTGAATTTTCAGATTTGTGTAATTATAAGGAAAGTTCAAATATTATAATGAAAATCTTTTAAGATTCCAAGTAATAAGTTATATTAAAATACTATAATAACAATTCTTATTAACCTTGAAATAACACCCTGAAGCATGAAGTTCAGGCTCAATAAATATTTCTTTCTGTTGTTTCATCAACTCAATGCTTTATAAATTATGATTGATTGCTGGATATAATTTCAAGGTTGACATTTTCTTTAATTTACTCTCAGGAAAAGAAAGTGGAGACTTAAGATACTGTCCCCCTTGTTCAGCATATGAGAACATAAAAACTGAAAGGACAGATGGCTTTAGGGAGACGTAATGAGTTCTTTTTGACAGGCAGAGTTTGAGGTGTCTCTGAGTCATTCAAGGAGACATCCACACCTGGTGATAGATTGGTCCAGTCTGAAGCTTGGAGGACCAGAGCAGGTTCTGGACATGAACTTGGGAGTCCTGGGCACTTATGATGGCTGAAAGCCTGAGAATGGCAAGATTCCCCAGCAAACAGGCATCAGCAGGAAAGACATAAGGGTACGAGTGACGGTGCCACAGTTGAATGGGCAGAGGAGAGAGGCCCGAAAAGGAGACTGAGGAGGAAGTGGCAGCACCATGAAGTCAAGGAAAGGGGCCTCCAATAGGAAAGAGTATCCCACTGTGCCTGAAGCTACAGGGAAGTCAAACAAGTAGAATCGAAGAGTGGTTGTTGAAATTAAGAAAAGCTCATCCATGGCAAATGGTTTGGTGAAAGCAAAGCCAGATTCTCTGGCTGAGGTAGTGACTGGAAAGAAAGGATGTGGAAACTGGAAGCATAAATTGCTCTTTTGAGACGTTTGGCCATGAAGAGGAAGAGATAGGGCAGGTGTTTTGAGGGAATGTGGTGGCCAAGGGAAGTCTGATGCTACTTGTTATAAAGAAGGAGTCCATAGACAGAGGGACATGGGACAATCAGAGTGAGGTTCTTTGAAAAGACACAAGGAGATGGGATCCAGAGAGAGTCAAGCACACATTTAATTCTTAATTCCACCTTCCTCTAGTTATGCACTTGGGCAAGTTTCTGCATCTACAGTAGAGGTAGTTATATCTATTGCAAAGAGGCAGGGTGAGAGATGTATGCATGAATTCCAATTGCACAGTGCCTGGCACATGATAAACACATAGCAAGTTGCCATGGGACTGGCAGGTCAGTGGTCAGTGATGTGGCTGCGGCTGTGATGTTCGTGGTTGTGGGGGAAGCTATAGGGTTAGTTAGCAAATTACAGAGCAACCTTTATACTCACATCATGACTCCAGCTTAGTATCTCCAGCGGCACTCAAGAAATATTAAGACTATGTTGAACTAAATAAAAATAACGATACATCTTGTCAAAATGTGCAGTATGCAGCAAAAAACACTGCTTAAAGGAATGTTTGTAGCACTGAATAAATATATTAGGAAAATAATCAAATTGAAACAGGAAAACAATAAAGGAAATCAATGAAATCAAAAGCTGTTTCTTCGGCAAGATCAATACAATTGATAAACCTCTAGTCAGTCCAACAAAGAAAAAAAGAATAAAGACACATTACTAATATTAGAAATGAAAGAGGGGCCATCACTACAGATTTCATTATGTTAAGAGGATAATAAATGAATAAATATTAAGGACAACCCCATGCCCACATATCTGATAACAGATGAAAAGAACCAATATCCTGAAAGATACTATACTTCATCTGTTGCAGTGATAACACAGTAGTGTCTTTTCCTCTCTGATTTTTCCCTAACCTCAGTGCTGCATCTTCTTCCTCACCTTATTAATATAGATTTCTCTCATGCTTAGCTCAGTACCTAACACTTAAAAGAGGTATGCGTTTATGTGTTTCTCAAATGAATGAGTCGCTCATTTCCAGCCTCATTCCTCTCCTTTTCTCCATGTCTTACTTATCTATCAAAAATTTAACTCTCAATTCTAGGGAGATAATAATTTAGTATCCAATTTCCACCAAGCTCCAGGTTCATATTTCCAGCTGTCTGGAGGATACATCCACCAGAATGATCTGCAGCAACTCGGAACAAAGAGCCTGCTGGACTTATGACCTCTGCTGGCTTTACTCCTGATGCTGCAGTTCTCTGTAGTATACCAATGTTCTCCATCATAAAAACCTTAGGTTTGCATGATGTCACGTTTCCTTTTCCCTTGATGTTTTTTGTTTTTGTTTTTGTTTTTGTTTTTGTTTTTTGAGATGGAGTCTCGCTCTGTCGCCCAGGCTGGAGTGCAGTGGCGCGATCTCGGCTCACTGCAAGCTCCAACTCCCAGATTCACGCGGTTCTCCTGCCTCAGCCTCCCGAGTAGCTGGGACTATAGGCACCCACCACCACGCCCAGCTAATTTTTTGTATTTTTAGTAGAGGTGGGATTTCACCGTGTTAGCCAGGACGGTCTCGATCTCCTGACCTCATTATCCGCCCACTTCGGCCTCCCAAAGTGCTGGGATTACAGGCGTGAGCCACCGCACCCAGCCTTTTCCCTTGATTTTTAAGTCTTGGACATAGTTTCTTCCTAATGATCCCCAACTCCACCCTCTGTTTCCCCGTTGCTCCTGGCTTAGGCTTTCATCTCTCATTGGAGTAATTCGACATCTAAAACACCATCCTATTCATGCTTCTCCTTGCACAAATTCACCCCTGCACACAAGTCTCATTGCTAAAGGGAAGTGGCATTTCCAGAAAGTATTTCAATAGAGCATTCAGGCTTCTTTCCTTCTAGATCATAACCGTATCTCAGGACCCATTTCCTGCCATCCTTACCTTTTTCAAACTTAGAATAAGCTCCAGGATGTGCCTTTGAATCTCCAGTTTTCTATGGCTCTCCTGTGTAGCAGAAGTTGGTGCTAGCTTACTTCTCTCAAAAAATTGACCAGTGTGGGAGGAAGATATAACAATTCTAGTGGACACGTCCACTGCCGTTAGAAATGACACATCCCCCTACTCAAATGCACAAAAGCCTTTGACTCTAGTGACCCGGCTGTACATTAATTTCATCTCCCCTGTATCTCCTTGTTTTCCCTTCACATATCATCGCACTGACCAGAGATTTTTACTTATGCCCAGTGAATTTCATTGATCTCCTCTCCTTCCATCATAATCCTAAAGGGCCAGGTGGTTTTTATGGTCTTTTTTTTTTTTTTTTTTTTTTTTGAGACGAAGTCTTGCTGTCGCCCAGGCTGGAGTGCAGTGGTGCGATCTCGGCTCACCGCAAGCTCCGCCCCCTGGGTTCACGCCATTCTCCTGCCTCAGCCTCCCGAGTAGCTGGGACTACAGGCGCCCGCCACCATGCCCGGCTAATTGTTTTTTGTCTTTTTAGTAGAGACGGGGTTTCACCGTGTTAGCCAGGATGGTCGATTTTTATGGTCTTAAATGTCATAAGTATATATTAAACTATGATTAGCCAGCTGCATCCCAAATCATCTTTAAACCCCCGTCAGTACAAAAACGTTACCCTGATCATCACAACCCACTTCCAGTTTTGACTCATTCCCCATTTCTCTAGGGTCATGTGTGATTGTGGGAGGAGGCATGGTTTCTGTCAGGAGCTGAGCCTTTGGAGAGTGCCAGGACTGAGTTAGGTCACTTTGCTGTTTTGTGTCTTCTCTTTGCTCCTCCAGGCCCAATCTCCACCTGCTCTAGGTTCCGGGAGGCAGATTTGTATCCAAGCATCAGAGGCCTCCCAGGCCTTGGCTCCCACAAAGGCTCAGCCATTGGGCTTTAGCAATAGAGATCTGTTGGGAAAGAGATAGAGGGAAGGTATTTATTCCTCCAGCTTCTCACAGGTGCAGCACTTCCCATGGAGTGGCTATGTCCTTCCATGAAAGTGGACGGCTCCTCTCTGGTGACCTCCTGCCCCTCAAGCGTGACCCTCAGATTTTCATCATCACTCCAACCCTTCATGCCTCTGCCCTAGGGGTGATGATGGCTCTTCCCACTGTTAATAGCCCCAGGAAACTACCCTGGTTCTTGTGATTTTCCAACACTGTGTCCGCACCTTTGGAAAATAGGCCCTTTATTAAACTTTCCTCAAATACCAAATTTGACTGTGCCCCATGTTTCCTGTTGGGACCCTGACAGACATAACCTGTTAGTGTGTGATATGGTTTGGCTGTGTCCCCACCCAAATCTCATCTTGAACTGTAGCTCTCATAATTCCCATGTGTTGTGGGAGGGACCTGGTGGGAGATAATTGAATCACGGTAGCAGTTTCCCCCATACTGTTCTCATGTTAGTGAATAAGTCTCAGAAGATCCAATGGTTTTACAAGAGGAAATCCCTTTCGCTTGGCTCTCATTCTGTCTTGCCACCACCATGTAAGAAGTGCCTTTCACCTTCCACCATGATTGTGAGGCCTCCCTAGCCACATGGCGTCACAGTGTGTGACTTTATGTCACTGAGTTAACTTCTAGGAAGATATTTCTCATTGGTAGAATGGGAATTATATTACTTATCTTTCAGACCTTTGTGAAAAACAAAACAAATAATTCCTTCTAAAAGCAGGAAGCTCAACTCTCTATAATACAAATAGGATAAGTGTAATATCATTAAACTAAATTTCTGCATAAACAAAATGGGAAAGACAAAATACACTAATGTTAATAAGTTCTGATAACCCACTACCATTAGACCAGCCCAAAAGACAGAATACACACTGGGAAACAATCTTGCCATATACACAATAAATAAAATTTGTAATATATAAGACACTTATTAATGAATATAAAGAACTAGAAAATGAATGCAATAGGAAAATAGCTAAAGGTAGTAAGAGAAAAAAAAAACAAGTGGATTTCACATGTTTAAAAGATGCTCAACCACATACTTTGTAAAAAGAAATGCAAATTAAAACCGCATTGAAATATGTTAGTTTTTGTTGTTTTCACCTGTTGAATCCAAAAAGATTGAAAAGTAGGATAATATATCCTGTTGATGAGTATGTCAGGTAATCTGAACTCTCATACATCATTGACAGGAATATGAACTGGTACAACCTCTTTGGAGTGAAACTTAACAATATCTAATAAATAAAAAATGCACATATCCTCTGGCCCAGCAATTCTACTTCCAGAAATTAATTTTCTAGCTATACATACACAAGTGAAAAAAGCCACATGTACCAAGCTATTCATCACAGCACTGTTTGCAGATGCCAAAGATGGGGCCAGTCTAAGTCTCCACCAGTGTTGTACGCGCATAGAGGCTTTGTCTCCTCCAGCTCGGCTCAGCTGGAACCAGCTGTATTAGTCGGGGTTCTCTAGAGGGACAGGACTAATAGGATAGACATATATATGAAAGGGAATTTATTAAGGAGTATTGATTCACACAGTCAGAAGTTGAGGTCCCACAATAAGCTGTCTACAAGCTGAGGAGAAGGAAGCCAATCTGAGTCCCAAAACCTCAAAAGTAGGGAAGCTGATAGTGCTGGCTTCAGTCTGTGGCTGAAAGCCTGAGAGCCCCTGACAAACCGCTGGTGTAAGCCCAAGAGTTTAAGAACTTGGAGTCCAATGTAAGAGGGCAGAAAGCATCTAGCACGGGAGAAAGATGAAGACTGGAAGACTCAGCCAGTCTAGTCCTTCCATGTTCTTCTGCCTGCTTTTATTCTATCCATGCTGGCAGCTGATTAGATGGTGCTCACCCAGATTGAGTGTGGGTCTGCCTCTCCCAGGCAATTCACTCAAAAGTTAATCTCTTTTGGCAACACCCTCACAGACACACCCAGGAACAATACTTTGCATCCTTCAATCCAATCAAGTTGACACTCAATATTAAAGCTGGTTTCCCAGAATTCCCCTCCTTATAAGTTTCTGGATTGCAGCTCATCACAAGAGACATGTGCAAGGGCTGGAAGACAGTACCGCAGCATGTGTTGGGCTTGAAAGCTGGTGCACGGCAGGTGTTAGTGCCCCTCCCAGTATGCTGCTCACTAACTTGCAGAGAGGGCAGCAGCCAGTTGTGCAGCTCCTACTGCATTTGTCTCGGAATCTCAGTCAGGTGTGAGTCTGGTTCCATGGAAAAGGGCACCAGCTTAGCTGGCAGGTGCCCTGAGTGGTCAAAAATAAATGTGGTGAGAGAAAGCCATGGCTTTCCCTTATCCTCGCAGGTTCTAGTTTTTCCTTACCGCACCCCCACCCCTGCTTTATGGTCAACAGCTCACCCCACTGACTTCAGACTGAGCTCCAGGTGTGGAGTCAAGACTTACACGGGCTGCTGGCTCCAACGCCCAGAGCAGAATTCGACTGTGTGAGGTCTCGTTCTTCCAGATCACTCAGAGTGGGCCCACTTGCCTGATCAAACCCCAATAGATTAAATTAGTTAAATAAACTATAAGGATTATATAGCCATCAAAAATAATGAGGTAGATTTATACATGGACATAAAGCAATGCACAAGGTTATACTAAGTGAAAAAAATGAGGTTTAGAAAAACGTACATGGTGCGCTAGTTTCTGGGTACACACATACACTGACCGGGAATCCGTCATGTGCCTGCTCATTCCAGGCTATCGCTGGAAGGACGTAGAACCTGTTTCCTCTCCTCGGGGGACCAGACCTGGGAATGATGGGGAGGATGGTACTGCATTGTCTGTCTTTTGTACTGTTTGATTTGTTTCATGCACTTGTATTAATTTTTAAAATAATGATAGTGACATTTTTAAAGTGAAATAACACTGAAATCTCTGGGCATAGTCTCCAGAGCATCAATGGTGCTCCGTACGCCTCAGCCTCCTTTCTGTCCCTACCTTGCTGCCTATTCGGGGTCATCCCATGCTTCGTGCCTCCATGGCTCCATGAGCCATGCTATGGACACGATGAATATAGCACAGGCCAGGCAATGAGGAGGTGCTCATCTGTGGCAGTCAGTCTGAGAGCCAATGACACATCTAAAGGAAGAGCATTGTTGGATATGAGTTTAGCTGTTGGAGTAGAAAGTAAAGAAAGAGATATTCAATAGTTTGTTCTTGAAGCAAAAAAAAAAAAAAAGGGGGGAATCTCAAAAGTATACAAAGGGTGCAGGGTAAAAGGAAATATTTCCTATGGCTGTTGGCCTTCTGTATTTCACTTATGCTAAAGAAACATAAGTTACTGGAAAAGGGGGAGTATGCACTCACACCATCAGAAAATTTGAAATACCCGTAATGTTATAAAAATCTCAAAAGCTTGGCAGGGTGCAGTGGCTCACCCCTGTAATCCCAGCACTTTGGGAGGCTGAGGCAGGTGGATCACCTGAGGTCAGGAGTTCAAGACCAGCCTGGCCAACATGGTGAAACCCCGTCGCTATTAAAAATACAAAAATTAGCAGGCGTGGTGGCACACGCCTGTAGTCCCAGCTACTTGGGAGGCTGAGGCAGGAGAAACGCTTGAACCTGGAAGGCAGAGGTTGCAGTGAGCTGAGATCACGCCACTGCACTCCAGCCTGGGCAACACAGTGAGACTCCATCTCAAGTAAATAAATAAATAAATAACTCAAAAGCTGAATTCTGCTTTATTTATAACTAAAAAGTTTAAGATAATAGGTGTGTATATGTAATACGAGTGTACATCTGTACACTAGAGCCTTAGGAATACGTTTTTGTTTAATTTATAAGAATAAAAAGAGTTTCCTCTGAAGTCAACGTGAGGAAGATATGCAATCTGGTTTAATGTATTCTGGCAAAAAATATTTATGGCAGATTATAAAATTTTAAAAATATTCACACACAAATATAAGATATTCTGGTAAAAAAAAAAAGAAACTTAAAAAAGCTCATTGCCTTGAACAAGGCATATTTTTGGTTAGCCGGTTGTAGGAATAAAAGTCATATATTAGACCCTGTAGGCAGAGAAAACTCAGCTCTGCCCTCCTACACACTTACAGCACGGGAAACACATCCACTGTTTCAAGTCACTTCCTCCGAGTTACTCCACTGGGATTTCAGCAACAGGACCTTCGTGCACAAGTGCCAGTCCTCCTCCGCCTTTTCCTGTAGCGTTCCCACCTCTTACAACTGGCATAGAATTATATTTGAAGGGAAATAATAGGGCAGGCAAACACCAAAGACTGCACTAGAAAGAAGGAAGGATAGATCTGAGAAAGAGAAGAGCTTTGCCACAGATGTGAATTCACGGTGAGCAACATCACTAGAGATCATGAGGACCCCCTGCAATGCACTCCATCTGCTCCCAAGGTTCCCCCTCAGCCTGTCCTTGACCGTAGCTGTCAAGGGAAGCAATGTTAATAACAGAGAAGAGTCATATTTTTAAAATGAAGCTGCCAGTCACGGTGGCTCACACCTGTAATCCCAGCACTTTGGGAGGCCAAGGCAGGAGAATCACCTGAGGTCAGGAGTTCAAGACCAGCCTGGACAACATGGTGAAACCTCGTCTCTACTAAAAATACAAAATTAGCCGGGTGCAGTGGTGCGGGGCCTGTAATCCCAGCTCCTCAGCAGGCTAAGGTAGGAGAATCGCTTGAACCCAGAAGGCGGAGGTTGCAGTGAGCTGGGATTGCACCACTGCACTCCAGTCAACAGAATGAAACTCCATCTCAAATAAATAAATAAATAAATAAAATAAAATGAAACAAAAAGCTTCAAAGTGCTGTGCTCCCGTAGCTGTTCTCTGTAAGAGCGAAGTACACAATGGCCTTCATTCCTGGGCATCTGCTCAGAACTTCCTGTGGCGTCCATGAAGGCGTCAGTGCACTGCCAGGCTCACTTCCACAGACCTAAAAGCACTACCAACTCAAAACAAACAGAACTCACCGTTCATAACCATAATCCCTCTCAGAGTGGTTCGGGGTTTTTCTGTGCTGATTAGTCCCAGCAAATCAGACATCAAGCTTTCCAGAGGGAGGTTTCCTTTCTTTCATACCAATTAGTCAGAGAGCATTTGAGGAAAGGGGAAGGCATCTCTGCCCTGCTGCGAGGCGAGTTATCTTTCATCACTCAGGAGCATCCCAATCATCATTACCAGGCATTTATAGACCACCTTGCATCTCCAATCAGCTTGTAAATGGTTTTACAAATGGATTAGAAACAGCATAGACAGGCATCACTTCACACAGCACCAAAGTGTATAGTCTCCTCAAGGGGAAACGTGGGGACTTGGGTATAAATCAGGATAAAATTATGCTAAGGTTTAAGACCAACCATGAAGAATGGCTTGTTTGCAAAGCCATAGGGAATATAAGGTAAGCAAAGGACATTTCCTGCCCCTGGTGACAAGCTCAGTGCTGCCTGGTCAGTGGAGGTCTGAGGTTAATGAACCTGGCATCCAGATGGCAGTGTTGCCCGAGGGACCAACGGGCAGCCTCTGACTTCTGGAGGGAAATTGATCAAGCTACAGCCAGGGCTTCATTGTGTCCCTGAGTCTCACCAGCAACGCAGCACCGGCCTCTGACCCTGAGCCTGGACAACACAAGCCACTGGCCTTCCGATGCTCACATGTCCATCATTACCCAGGCGATCTGCATTCCAGAGTCCTGCTCTGCAAAGTCAACACTGGCACTTTCCTACAGAACCAAACCACAGGAACCCATTTGTTTTTGCGTAAACCCTTGTAAAGTACATTGGCCCACAGCTGCCTCACTCAGGTGCCCTTCAGCTGCAACTTTGAAAGTGTTTGCTGGTCTTCTTAAAGTTGCCCATTCAGATACCATCAGGAGATGCTCTGCTGAGCCTGGCTGTTCACTGCGAGTCCCACCGATGCCCCATGCAGTGCTGGAGAAGTATTGGCCATCCCTGTCCATCTTGCTTTGTTGTAAAGGCAGAGAATTAATGTACTTTATATAGTTTGAGTCTATTAGAAGTGAATTCCCTCAGGGCAGTTATGAGTAATGCTAATTTTTAAATGGGAATTGTACTTGATATTTACTATATGGAGGTGTGGCCTTTCCTCCATGGCATTTGGTGAATTTTGTAGCAAACCTCGTAGTTTTTCAAAACGTGTCTACAATGCCAGAAATGGTTTGTGACACACACACAAAGTACACATATATTTTAGAAAATATTCTGACACCTTGAAAGGTAGCCGGGTTCCTACCCGGGAACTAGTGAAAGAGAACACAATGCTTGTCAATGGCAGCACACATAGGCTTTGGGTAATGCGCAGGCTCTCACTCAGTGTGTCTGGCAAAAGGCCTCAGATTCTGCATTTCTAATAAGCGCCAAGGTGCCACCTGTGCTGTAGGTCAGGGGACCACACTTGCAGTGGCTAATGCCAGAAGGTTACTTGTGCCCTTCAAGTCCCAAGTCTGAGGGATTTTTCCCAGCCAGCGTGCTGCATGGATGTTGTGCTGGCCAGAATTCCTGACAGTTCATGATCAGGTGTAATTAGAGCAGAACTTCTCCAGGACAGCTCACTGCTTGGCGGCACAGCAAGAGGCTGCCACCAGAGAAGTGAACCCACCAGAGAAGTGAACCCACCAGAGAAGTGAACCCATGAGAAACAAAGGCACCCAGTTGTCCAGAAACAATGGGCTCCACACCCCCGTATTCTGCATTGGTCATTTTGCCTCACGCCAAACAGAAGGCAAAGTTAGAATTTGCTGTTAAGCCTGAAAGCCAAGTCTCCTGACTTTAGAGACAGTTGAGAAGCAAAAGCAAAGGGAGCCGGGGGTGCAGTGGTGCTGGAGTCAGCTTCAGGGAGAGCATCATCATTCAGAGTGCCCACAGGCACCTGAGCAGGGCTCTGGGGCCAGGGAGACCCCAGCATGCGCAGAGGAGGTGAAGGTGTTCACAGGCTCATGAGGAGAGGAGAGGGACTCGGGCAAGGGCAGCCACCAGGACTCCACGTGAGAAGGCAGAGCACACTGCATGGTGAGAGCCTCAGCCAGGGCTTTCCCGGGACGGCATTCTGCAGGAGCAGGCAAGCCAGTTTTGTACTGAAAGAACAGAAAATGGAAGAAACAGAAGCAGGAGCAAATGGGAAATGCTGAGAAGCCCCAACACCGGGTGGAGGGTCTCTTGCTTCCCAGGTTATTCCCCGTGCACGATTGCATGACTATGGCCTCTGCTGGTGAAAGAATGTGGTGTTCAAGTCTGGAATGAGCCATTTCAGCTACAATCAAGTTATTCAAGCCATTGGGAGGGGATCTCAAGAGATGCAACAAAAATCTGCAGACTCCGTAGACAGAGCTTAGTGAAGTGGGAGATGGCAATTAACTCAATTTTTATGCCATATTATTAAGCATCTTCCAGGTGTGAGACGTTGGACGTTGTGCTAAATGCTGAGAAAGAAATAAAGATGTGAGCTCCTCCAAGATGACCTCACAGCTTCACTCTGTTTCCCCAATGTGTAGTATACGCTCTGGAACACAATGGGATCAAAATGTATTTACCAAATGGAAAAAAGAGCAGTGAACATTGTGTACTTTGTGCCAGGTGCTGTACTAAAATGCTTCATAGGCAATGTCCAAGGGAAAAGAAAAAGATGAATATAGAGGCAACAGCCATTCTTCCTACGGGTTTTTAACTGAGTAGTCAGGGCTCATTATGAAATCTCCTGCAAAGATTTTTTTCAGGTAGAAGAGAGTGTGGAGGATGGCATGGGCTTTGCAGATAGGAATGAAAGAGATTTCCAAACATAGCTGTTGCTTCCTTGACATCCTTACAAGAGGATTTGCCTCAGTTGCTGCTCTAGACAGTGTCCTTTAGATGTTTGCTTGGCTATATGAGCAGCACATCTTCTTAGAAGCCAAGGGCATAAAGAACAGTGGTGTTTCCAGAATTTGAAGAAACTCCACTGTCTGGGAAAAGACAAAATTTACATTTCTAACAGGTCCGGGTAGCTTGAGAGGTTATGGTGACCTTCTCTCAAAAAAAAAAGCATGTATGTTCAAGCATGTGTGTTAAACCTCTTAAATCAGAAGCCCACTCTTAAAAATGAAATCCAGAAATAAGAACCAAAATTAGTTCTTCCTGAAGCTGCAACTTTAGGGTAGAGCTTGTTACCATTTTCCTCCTTGGCTCTGCTACCCTATTGTAAGAGACTTTCACTGATTCAAATGCCACCAAGAAGTGTCAGAGAACAACTTGCTTACTGCCCCACAAGCTCCTAGAACAACCTGTGTCCAAGAACTCAACAAGAGAACTAAACAGCCACATAGTTTATATGCAAGAATGAAATTAGCCTCAATTATTTTCTTAATGGGGAGGAAAAAGCTCTTTCCTGCTGTAGCAAACCAGAGTGTGGGGTGATAAACAGCTTTTCTTTCATAATATACATTGCCTAAATTCAAAGTTGTTTTGTGCTAGCCCAAGATTCCCTTAGAGGAATTCTGTACTTTCGTAGCAAATACCATTTGCATTTGCATTTGCTCACTGAGTCACTATCAAGCTTCCTGCTGGAGAGCTTCAAAAGATGTTTGCATGGCGCAGGAGCTAATGACTGCTCTCCTCAGGAGTCTTTGCTCAAAAATGTTTTTCCTACAATGACTTGCAAAAGCTCACAGCCTACCTCTTGGAAAAGTCTCAAATGTGATACTTAGAGCAATAGGCATTTTCCTATGAAGAGGAGGTGTATGCATCTAGTGATTGGTGTTCCAAATTCTTGGATTTTATTATGCAAAATACGATGCAGTCATGGGAAAACACTTAGCTTCCTAAAACAAGGCCTAGCTGGAGTTTAAGGAGGAAATAAAACAGCTTCCTAAATTAACCATGCCAAGTCTAGAACTCAGGTCTTACAGGCTAACAGCTCATTATGTTTTGGTGAGAAGAGCAGGACAATGTGATAAAAGAGCATTTGTTTGGAATCACAGATGAGAGTTTAAACTTATTCTATGCTCGGTCATTTTCCAGCATTTTGTCAGAAAGTCATTTGACATCGCTGAGCCTCTGTAACTTCCAGTGTACAATGGTCATAATAGTATTTATAATATCTATTTTGCTGAGAGGAGTAAATGAGCTATAAAAGTACCATGTAGTCTCAGAGAAGTTCCCTTTGCTCTTAACTTGTGAACCTCTCCATAATCATTGTTAACTCTGAAGAAAAGGAAGGTGAGGCAGAATAATGAAGAAGCAATCAAATTAGTCTAGAGACAAAAAAGGCATGAGAAAAAAATTATCTTTGCCATATGATGTAAACAATGAAGAATGAGAGACAAAAGCCAGATAAGACTGTTTTGGAGAGCTTCATGTTTCTTTGTTTGCATGTTTGTTTTGCTTTGGTTGGTTTTCTTTGTTGTTCGTTTTGACTTTTCAGAGCTGGAACTGTCATAGACGTGATCTAGAACGAATGTCTCATTTTACCATCTGAAAACTTAAGCTTTATGAGATTAATCCTGAGTAGTCACACATCTCAGATAGTGGCAAAACATGAAATGAAGTCCAGGATTTTCTGATTTTCATGTAATGTTATTTCTACTGAAGCTTTCTCTGCTCACTGACTGCCCTAGGACATGGCTTTGAGAACGTGATTCTGTGATTCTCATGAAGTCCTGAACAGATCTGATGTCCTTCCTCTACCACTTACTTATGGCGTGCCTTTGGCAATTTTCTTAATGTCTCTGGACAAACTTTTCTCATCAACTTCCTATTTATATCACCAAGTCCTTTAAATTACTCAGATGAATAAATAAATGAAGCCTTAGATTAGTTTAGGTATGCTCTGCCCTTGACACACACAGCCAATCCATCGTAGAACCATCCTGTTGAGATCAGACTTGAATCCAGAAGCTTTCTCAACACAGATGTCGACAGAGCCTATCAATAAGCTCTCATGCAAAATAAAACCTATTTGCTATCCCTTTGTTACTGGAAAAGGGTCCCCATCCAGACCCCAAGAGAGGGTTCTTGGACCTCACACAAGAAAGAATTTAGGACAATTCCATAAAGTGGAAGCAACTTTATCAAGAAAGTAAAGGAATAAAAGTATGGCTACTCCATATGCCAAGAAGCTGCATGGGCTGCTCAACTGAGTATACTTACAGTTATTTCCTGGTTATATGCAAACAAGGGGTGGATTATTCATGAGTTTTCTGGGAAAGGGGTGGGCAATTCCTGAAACTGAGGGTTCCTCTTCCTTTTAGACCATATAGAGTAACTTCCTGATGTTGCCATGACATTTGTAAACTGTCATGGCGCTGGTGGGCGTGTCTTTTAGCATGCTAATACATTACAATTAGCATATAATGAGCAATGAGAATAACCAGAGCTCACTTTCATTGTCATCTTGGTTTTGGCAGCTTTTGGCTGGCTTCTTAACTGCATCCTGTTCTATCGGCAAGGTCTTTGTGAACTGTACCCTGTGCCATCCTCCTATCTCAACCTGTGACTAAGAATGCCTAACCTCCTGGAAGTGCAGCCCAGTAGGTCTCAGTCTTATTTTACCCAGCTCCTATTCAAGATGGAGTTACTCTGGTTCAAATGCCTATGACACCTTGATTAAATGAGTTCAAATTCTCAATTTAATTTATTCCTATGATTAATATTAGAGAATTAACTTCTGCTAATTTTTCATAGTTTGTTATCTGTCTGTAATCATAGTTTCCTTCAAGGACTACTTTTGCATGGATGGCCGGTGACTGGATTAATGAGGTAATGAAACATGCCTCAAATTCCCCAAGTAGTTGTGTTTTCATATGGGAATCATTTATTCAGACATAAGAAAACCCCTTTGAATTGGTATAATCCTAAGAGTTAAGGCAAAAGAGACTTTTAATTAGCTTATGTGATGTTATTTGGGGTAAATGTATAATTTCCATCAAGGTATTTGAAAATTGATAATGACTTGAAAAATTCTTCCAGTAATTTTTTCATAATTCCTCAAGGATCTGGCAAGCCAAGTTTGGAATCTGCATTCCTAGAAAGTATTCTAGAACAACGTCATAAAAGAATTTTGAAAAAGAAGCGCTCTCTCTGGGTCTGGTGACAAAAGCAGTGGTAGAATTAGGAAGATCAATCAGATATGGCTCCATTTCTGATCAATTTGTAAAACAGGGTTAAATTGTATTTGGTAGAGTCCTGACAAACTGTAATGTCCCAAGAGGTCCACAAACCCAGCTAAATAGTTGTTCCTTTCCCAGCCAAGTTGTGCTTTACCAGATAAATGCTACAGAGGAGCTATAGCAAGTAGACCAAAAGGTGACAGCTGAGCCCCATGTTTCAGCCTTTGGGTCTTGAGCCATCAGACAACACTGCTCATCACTTCTCTCTGGGGCCATCACCTATCACACCCAGGGACACTCCTCCTTCCTTGAAGAGTTAGCTCCTGACTCATACACACCCTCCAGCACTGTTCCCACTATGATTTCCAGTGACATTTGTATCCACCTAGACAGTCCTTCCTATAGCCCAGTCTCCTTGTTTTTTGACCCCTTCTCCAATGATCTTTACTACACTTCAGCCAATTCATTCCAATTGACAAACCCCAGATATTTTCATGACAGTAAGAGCAGCCCCTCTACAATCTAAATTTCAAGGATTCTACCCTCCCCTCCCTACCTCCAAGTTTTCCAAATCAATCTCTACACTGGAGGGCACACTGGCCGGTCTGTTAGTTTTTACTAACAAGGACTTTCAGGCCTATCTTTGTTCTACCTTTCACTCCACTAGTGTCCTTACTTTTTTTCTTACACAGCTTTAATTTCATAGGCAATTGTTATAATCACTCCCTTGAATCAGTTCCTCAATTTCCTTTATTTCTAGACTAAATCAAAACCATGGCCAAGCCCAACTGGACACCTACACTGCACCTGCACATCTGCAGTTGAGCATGGATTAAAAAAAAATACATCAGGAACCTCATGGGCCCTTAGTAATGACTGATGATAATATTATATGATCCTAT